>NC_000005.10:85867382-86170413 GCF_000001405.40 Homo sapiens | reverse complement strand
TTTAAGGTTTATTGCTGACAAAAGCAAAAAATGAATTGGTACACACAGAACTATTGAGCCCCAAGGCTGTGCATTGAAGAATCTGACTTGGTAAGTTGGAGTAAAGACATATCACAATCTGAGACAGGAAATGTGGTCAAATAAGGTGTGCCCTAGAGTGTGGGATATTGAGAGCAATATAAATCTTGCATTTCCCAAAGCATCTACCTCAGCACCTCATATAGTGTAGGTGGCCAATTTAATTATTAATGAATTAAATTAAATTAATCAATATGCCAAATTAGGCTTATAATAGAAAACAGGACTCCCAGTGAGATTTCTGCTGTGATGACAACTTGAAGAACCTGCTACTTAGGTCTTTCACATTGAGTTAACCCTGCTAAAGAAGCAAAATACATCATGACTGAACTTGAGATGAGAAGGTAGTGTTGTCATCTTTTCAAAGACCTGACAAAAGGTGATCTGTCTTCGTTGTTGAAACTGGTTAATTTTTGCTTTAATTAAGGACTGTGGGCTATTTCAGTTGTAGAAAAAGTTGGCTCATTACAGATCTTGTGCTGTTATATTTAGAAGTTTCTTATATTGGGGCTGTGTCTTCATTTAGCAGAAAAGAAAATTACCCTATTAGTGGGAATCTTTGCAGTGAGTAACTGAATTTTTTGTTTCAACATGTTAGCACGATTATTACAATACCTAGATTGGACCATGTGTATTCCAACAAGCCCAAGTGCATTTACAAGAAGACCAGTCAGGTTACCAAAAATCATACCAATCAGGTTACCAAAAATCATACCAATCAGGTTACCAAAAATCATATATTCAACTAAATTTCAGATTGACACCAATGCATACATATGCCCATTATTAGAACATAACAGAGTAGTTAGAAGCAGCATGTTTAGAGCAAAGTTCATGGGCTGAATCTATCATCTACAAGCTCTGTGACATTAAACAAGTTTGCAGTGCCTTAGATTTCACACATGTGAAATGAGGGTATCTTAGTGTCTACCTCACTGGATTGGCATAAAGGTATATGAACTCACATTTATAAGGTGCTTAGAACTGATTCTGAAGCATAAGAAGCAGTTTTGAAGTATTTTTTAGATAAATTCTGTGCGCTTAGTCTCAACAAAATGAACTATAAGTATTAGTCCGTTTTCACGCTGCTGATAAAGACATACCCAAGACTGGGAAGCAAAAGAGGTTTAATGAACTTACAGTTCCACATGGCTGGGGAGACCTCACAATCATGGCGGAAGGTGAAAGGCACATCTCATATGGTGGCAGACAAGAGAAGAGAGCTTGTGCAGGGAAACTCCCATTTTTAAAACCATCAGATCTCCTCAGAGACTCATTCACTAACACGAGGATAGTGCAGGAAAGATCCATCTGTATAATTCAATCACCTCCCACTGGGTTCCTCCATGAAATGTGTGAACTGTGGGAGTTACAATTCAAGATGAGATTTGGGTGGGGACACAGCCAAACCATATCAGTATATTTAGTCAATTTTAGCCTCACTTATATTTTATAAAATTAGGATGTATGAATTCCATTTTATGAACATATAGCTCTTCTATGCTTTCCAGGAAAAAATGATAAGTAAAATGTGCCTCATCTTTTCAGGTAAATGCAAAATAATAATTGTTATATATTATTGAATAAAATAAAATTAGATATTGTAGATAATTTCCTAGAAAAGTAAAAATAAATCTAGGATAATATATAATGTAGGCCACTACTCTAATGGAACTAACCCTTCTACTAATCAAAGAATATTTCTGGTCATATGAGGTTTCTAAGAGGTGTATTTAATATAGAAATCTACTATAATATTATTAAGCATAAGAGAACAAGCATTATTTATGTTTTCCCCTCTGTAAAGTTTAAAATATTTGGTATCACAGGAAACCAGAATATGTTTACTAAATGTGTCAGTGGTAGCATCTTTATGAATTATTATAAATGGAAAAACAAGAAATATTCTAAATTGATGTCTTTGAACTTAGTTTCTACATTCATAAATTATAAAATTATTCTATTTTTAAATTTTATTACTTTTAAATATGTAATAAACCTCATGTACACTGTACTCAGATGTAAAATGTTTTTATGTCATATTTGCCTCATAATATTTTTATTTTTATTTTTTTGAGATGGAGTCTTGCTTGCTCTGTTGCCCAGGCTGGAGTGCAGTGGTGCAATTTCGGCTCACTGCCACCTCCATCTCCCAGGTTCAAGTGATCCCCCTGCCTCAGTCTCCTGAGTAGCTAGGATTACAGGTGCATACTACCATGCCCAGCTAATTTTTGTGTTTTTAGTAGAGATGGGGTTTTGCCATATTGGCCAGGCTGGTCTCAAACTTCTGACCTCAGGTCAGAAGCCTCCCAAAGTGCTGTGATTACAGGCACCTCAAAATATTTCTGAATACAGTATTACAAAACTAGTTAATGCATCTTCCTTATCTCACTCTTTTCTTATTTGCTTAAACTTGAAGTTGTTTATTCTATGTATGATTATATATTTATTTCTCTACTTATATCATGTAAAATAGTGCTAGTCTGTGTGTTTATAAGATTTACATTGTTCTCAGCCTGGGCAACATGGTGAGACCCCATTTCTACACAAAATACAAAAATTAGCCATGTGTGGTGGCACACACCTGTAGTTCCAGTTACTCACAAGGCCAAGCCAAGAGGGTTGCTTGAGCCCAGGAGGTTGAGGCTGCAGAGAGCCATGATTGCCATTCCACTGCACTCCAGCCTGGGCAAAAGAGAAAGACCCTGTCTCAAAAAATAAAATAAAATAAAACAAAATAAAATAAAGTTTACCTCATTGATATCATACTGTAAATATTCTTTTGCAATTTTCTATTTTCACTCAGCATTATGCTCTTGAGATTGGCCACCTTGAAACTAAAAGGATGTAGTTCATTCTTGTTAACTGTTTTTTAGGATACTACTATATGAATATACCAGAGTTTTAAAATTACTTTATTGAAAAATATTTAAATTTTTTTCCAAGTTGTTGCCATTCTACACAATGCTGCAATAAAATAATTGCATTTGTTTCCTGTATACATATATGAATATTTACATTATTAAAATTTCAGGGATACACAAAATATTCAACTCTTCTAAATATTGCCTTTCCAAATATTCCAATTTCCATGTCCATGTATATTGCATAATGAATTTAATTTTCTTACATCCTCATTAATAGCTAATATTATGAACTTTACACTTTGTTAGTCTGATAGGTGTGAAATGGAAACTTATTAGTTACATTCTTCTTATACTTATTAATATTCAGTTTGAACATATTTTATATACTTATATGTAATATATATAAAATATATATACAGTCGTGCACCACATAATGATTTTGTCAACAATGAACCTCATATATGATGATGGCCTCATAAAACTATAATGCAGCTGAAAAATTCCTACTGCCTAAGTGATTTCATAGCCATTGTAACAGCATAGCACAATACACTACTCGTGTGTTTGTGTTGATGCTGGCGTAAACAAAACTACTGTGTTGCCAGTAGAAAGAAAAGTATAGCACAATCAGTTACACATAGTACTTAATACTTGGTAATAAGCAACTATGCAACTGTTTATGTATTTACTATAATTTTTATCTTTATTTTAGAGGCACTTTATTTAGAGGCACTTGTACTTATATATATATATATATATTTTTTTTTAAGTTGACTGTAAAACAGCCTCAGGCAGGTCTTTCATGAGATATTTCAGAAGGCTTTGTTATCATGGGAGATGACAGCTCCATGCACGTTATTGTCCCTGAAGACCTTCCAGTGAGACAAGATGTGGAAGGTATAAGATATAAATATCTTATATCTTACAAGATACAAATATCTTATATCTTACAAGATACAAATATCTTATATCTTACAAGATACAAATATCTTATATCTTACAAGATACAAATATCTTATATCTTACAAGATATAAATATCTTATATCTTGTAAGATATAAGTGTAGGCCTAGGCTAATGTGTGACTTTGAGTTTTAGTTGTTAATACATAATTTTAAATAGTAAAAACTAGTTTAAACTTTTTAAAATAGGAAAATGCTTATAGAATAAAGATATAAATAAAGAAAATATTTTTGTACAGTTATACAGTGTACTTTTTAAACTGCGTTATTCTAAATGAGTCAAAAAGTTAGAAAATTAAGTTTATAGAGTAAAAAATTTATAGTAGGCTAAGGTTAATTCACTATTGAAAAAGAAAAATATTTTTAAAAATTGAGGGTAGCATCAGTATATAGTTTATAAAGTCTGCAGTAGTGTACAGTAATGTTCTAGGCCTCAGCATTCACTCACCACTCACTCACTGACTCATCCATAGTAATTTCCAGTCCTGCAAGCTTCATTTATGATACGTGCCCTATACAGGTGTACCATTTTTATTCACTATAACATATTTTTACTGTGCCTTTTCTGTGTTTAGTTAGATCTAGATACACAAAAACTTACCATTGTGTTACATTGCCTACAGTATTCAGTACAATAAAATGCTGTTCAGGTTTGCAGCCTAGGAGCAATAGGCTATACCATATATACCTACCCATAGGTGGGTAGCAGTCTATACCATCTAAGTTTGGAGAAGTACACTCTATGATGCTTATACAACAACAAAAAGTACTTGGGGACCAACTTCCTCAGAACATGTCCCTGTTGTTGACAAGTGACACATGACTATATATATGTACATATACATAGCCTGCTATAGTTTCTGCTTCTATTATTTGCTTGTGTATCTTTCATTCATGTTCCTTTTAGTTCTTTGCCTCTACTCACTGATTTGTGGAGCTTGTTAGTTTAATTTCAATAAGTTAATTTAAATAAATTTAACATAGGAATCCATCGAATTAACATTCTCTTTAATTCATTACAAAACTTTAATTTTAATATTCTGAAATACATCTTTTTTTTCTTATTTATAGAAATTTAGCCCTTGGTTAAGAAATCCTTCATTACTAAGGGTTAGAAATTTATTGTCCTCTATATTCTCATGAGTTGTGAAAGTTTTGTTTTCATATTTTCAGCTTTAATTCATATGGAACTTATTTTTAGAATGAGATGGGGAATCTATTTATTTCCATATGGCATCTACTTTTTCCAGTACCATTTACTAAAGGGTCAACTCTTTATCCACTGATTTTCAATGCTATCCCTGTCATTACTACACTCAGTGTTTACCCAAAAGAGAGGCATAGCCTTCTGATCAGATACATTTCTGACCTACCAGATTATGTGATTATATAGTAATGATTTTTTGTTTGCATTGAAATGTGCTTAGTGACCTAACACAGTATGTGGTAAGTTGTTAGTACTACTCCATTTTTATTTGAAATAACAAGTATTCTCTAAATATTGGGCATATGATTTTATGTATATCTATAAATCATAGATCAAATATCCAGGCTGTTCTTTATTTGGTATGTTTCTTCTCTCTATAAGATGAAGATTTAGAAGCATTGTTACATTACTTATTCTCTTTGTCCTTAATTTTTGTACTCTAAATCCTGTTAACATCTATTTTAAGTCATACTTGATAAATCTCATACTAAATCCAATATTGACAGAAAAACTTTTTTTTCACCTGAACTGAATTATGCAGACTGTGGCCATGAAGGTCCTGAAGATGTAAAACGTTGAGTATCTGCAGTAGTATGGTCATCAACAGTCCTTTGTAAATTGTGCAACATGGGGCACTAATTTAGTCTTGAATACACAATATAATGTGAAGAATATACCCTAATCTTTTAAAAAACGTGATTCACTGCTTAGAGAGAAAAGGCATACATAAACATACATGATCTAAAGTATTGTGTGATAGCCCAAATTTGAGTCAATCAAAATATTATTCATGAAGAATGTTAGAATTAAAGTCTTGGATTAAGAGTAGGATTTCTATAAGCAGAAGATACCAGAGAGTGTCTCACAAAAAGAAACCAGCAAATAAAACGGTGGGGAGAAAAGAAGTTTGGCAAATATTTTGTGAAAAACAAATAGACGACTCTTTTGGGTTGATTAGAGGGTTTCTTTCAAATATACTATAGGTTTGGAGAAACATTTTTATAACGCTACTTGCATACAGCCTTGCAGTTAAGGTATTTGATCTTTACCTGTAAGAGCACAGATTTTTGAATGTCGAGATGTTAATCATTTTTTCTTTACAAATACTGAGCTGAGGTTTGTGCATGTGTTTGAGAGAAGGAAAAATTTTAACATTTTAATTTTTCTTTTTTTTTTTTTTTTGAGACGGGGTCTCCCTCTGTCGCCCACGCTGGAGTGCAGTGGCGCGATCTCGGCTCGCTGCAAGCTCCGCCTCCCGGGTTCACGCCATTCTCCTGCCTCAGCCTCCCGAGTAGCTGGGACTACAGGCGCCCGCCACCACGCCCGGCTAATTTTTTGTATTTTCAGTAGAGACGGGTTTCGCCGTGTTAGTCAGGATAGTCTCCATCTCCTGACCTCGTGATCTGCTTGTCTTGGCTTCCCAAAGTGCTGGGATTACAGGCGTGAGCCACCGCACCCTGCCAACATCTTAATTTTTTTAACAAAATAGTTTGTGGTGATGGTAATCTCTTTGACACTATTATAAGTATATCAATGTTAGCTCATTTACCATTTAATGCTCATAAGAACTCATGAGATAATATTACTCTACAAATTTTTATATGATAAAATATAAAGTTGAATACTGGATTCATATATTTACTCTGGTGAACTGTGTGTTGTCCTATTTTATTCATAATCTCCCCATGGATATGTCAACAATATCTTAGGCTTTGCATTATTTAGTTTCAAGTCAATGTAAAATGCAAACTACTAAACTGGTTTTATGCTTTAAAAAGTATTTCAACACCACTTCCTAGAATTTAAGCAGTAGAGCCAAAATTATCGTATTAGTAGTAATGTTAATGTCTTATGTAGAAAAGGGAGTAGTTTCAGAAGAAAATATACATGATGATATTGTACTTAGCTGCACTGTGACAATGTTTCTCAAACTTCAGTGACATGTATGATTTTTTTCTTTTGCTGCTAACATGCACCTAATAATTGTCTATCAACTTATACATTAAATTTAGAATAAGAAGCTTCACATAATTAATAAGAACAGAAAACTAATATCTTTTGCCTTTAGCAAATACTATCTTCAACCATCAGTTGGTTATCCAATTTGTACAATTTCCCTGCTATCACCTCACATGTGAGCCCTTTGCACATCATCACAAGGGCCTCAACAGTTCACAGCTAGCTTAGCTCTGAATTCTATGATGCCATAAGTAACTCATTAAACTGGTGAACATGCAGTACTTCAAGTTGGCACTTGTCAATGGACATAAAGCCTCATGCATACAGAAGACTGCACAAGCATTTGGGCCAATAATTGAGGTTGTGTATTAGAAGAAAATCAGCCAAACCCTTCTGCATAAGATCTCCAGCCATAGCTCCTTCTCTATTTACAGTAATAAAGGTCATCACCCTCGTTATGGAGCCAGGGAACAGTGACATAAAGGACTTGCCAGTCTGAATTCGGGTGTTCAAACAATGTCTTCAGAAAATTTTTTTCTCAATTTTCCTACTAATCATTTCTCTGTGTTGGCTTCATTCCGATGTGGACTCTTTGTCTGTTATGTATGCTAGAGGAAAGGTCAGAGACAACTCTTTTAGGGTATGGCACTTAATCCCCATACTTTATATTTCCATATAGCAGAGGAAATGTCTTCTCTAATCTCCAGCATGGTGTTGTAGGAGAGGAATACTTTCTGATTATTTCCATGCCATATTAACTTTTTCCCCTGAGAAGAAGGGACTTACCTGATAAATCCCTCAGGAAGAAGAAATTATACATGCCTAACTCAGTAACCTCTCTCTTTCATATCTGCCTGCCACAGAAAAGGTTCATTCTAGTTTTCTTTCTTGTTTGGTCATTTTGTCACAGAGCCAGCTCTCGTACAAGAGGCCTGCAGTTTAGTTGTACACGGGTGCCAATGCCTAAACAGGTAAATCCGTCTTGTTGTGAGACAATCCTAGCAAGCCTATTTGGCTGCAATACAAAAGTTACATTCTCCAAATAGGTATATCAGTAATAAATTTGAAATATAGATCTCTACTTCAATGTCTCCTATGTCTTGTTTCTCATTTAGTTATGTACTATGAGGGAAGAAATTATATTTTATTTATTGGCCCTTAATATTTTCCATAAGTTCTAGAGTTATATTACCATATTTGATGATTACACTAGTGGAAAGGTAATGCTTCTTTTTAATAGTTTCACTAAAACCTGGGAAGAAGTAGTAAATACATTTACATTTCCCTACCTAAAACCAAATTATCTGGCCAATTTGATAAAGCATTATAATAGGTCCTAACTAAATCTGATTGGTAGTTGGTGAGGGTCAGTTTCATGTAAACCAGCTGTGTTAACCACAAAGGGGGAGGATTATTAGAAGAAAGGGAGTGAAGACATAGGGTTTGGCACATCTGAGTAATAGATGATATAGACAGAAGAGTTTGGCAATTGGGCATGGAATGAAGGAAAGGATGAAATTAGAGATTGTTATGGACTCAATATTTGTGTCCACCCAAAATTCATATACTGAAAGGATGTGATGGTAGTGGGAGGTGGGCCTTTGGGAGGTAATTAGGTCATGAGGTTGGAGCTGTCACAAATGGAATTAGCTACTTTATAAGAAGAGACATGAGTGTTTCCTCTCTGCTTTCTACCATGTGAGGATACAACAAGAAAAACAGCCATCTGCAAACAAGGAAGTGGCCCCCCAACCAGACACTGAATCTGCCAGAACCTGGATGCTGGGGTTCCCAGTTTACAGAACTATGAGAAATCAATATTTGTAATTAAGCCACCCAGTATATGGTATATTTGTTACAGCAGCCCAAACTGACTAAGACAGGCATGAATGAATTACAAACTTTCATCTTGGATGATTGGGTATATTGCGGGCTTATCACCAAGCTGATATAGGAAAAATAAGAATATTTTGGCGGGAGGGGAGCGGAGATGGGACAGGAGGAGTTGCAATGCCAAAGAATTCAATTTTTAAATCGTCTTAATTGAAACTTAAGAACATCTAATACAATTTAACTATTATAAATACAGAGTTCAATGTGTTTCAACATCCATTTGCATCTATCTAACCAACACCACAATCAAGATACAGAAGATCTCTATGACCCCAAATATTCCTTCATGAATGTTTGCAGTCAGTTTTTTCAGACATCCAGCCTCCTGTATCTACTGACCTGCATTTTGCCAGTATAGATTATAGATATTTTCTAAATTGTTTTAAAATAGAATCGTACAGTATGTACTTTTGTGTATACCTTTTTGTCTTTAGCATAATGTCAATATTCATTCATATTTTTCAAGGCATCAATTGCGTGTTCCTTCTTCATTTCTGAATAGTATTCCATTGTATGAAGTGGAACCACAAATTGTTTATCAATATACCTATTGATGGGTAATTCAATTGTTTCCAGGTTTTGGCAATTACAGGTAAAGCTGCTCTGCATATCCATGTATAAATCATTGAAATCATTGAGTGGACACAAGGTCTTGGGTAAATACTTATGATAGCAATTTCCAGATCTTTTTTATTCATGTATGTTTAAATTTATGACCAACTGGAAAGAATTTTCCAAAATGCTTGTAGTGTTTTACATTACCACCAGCAGAATATGAGAGTCACAGTTGCTCCTCATTTACCAATACTTGGTACTAGTGGTGTTTTTATTTTTAGCCAATATATTCAGTGTTGAGGTAGATGCTTTTGATAAATAGGAGAGAGTTAGATACACAATTCTAAAACTCAAGAGAGTCGTGATTTAAGATCATAAATTTAGAAATAATAATTATATCAAAAATAATTAAAATTACAAGACTAGATGAAGTGATTCAAGCCATGCATGTAGAATAAAAATTTCTGGATAAATTTTTCATCCAGAATATTTAATATTTATTTCTGAATAAATAGTTTATTCAAAAGAGGATTAGGAATCTAATAGACAAAATATACATAAAAATTGCAAATATATCCAAGAAGGTTTAGAAAAACCAAAAACATATATAATTTAAGTATGTGTTAGTGATTAATAGTGTCATCTGCATCAGAGAAATCCAATAAAAGACCAACATTTTCTCCATTTAATTTGGCGTGTAGGATTTTATCGCAACTTTAACAAAAAATCGTTTTGTGCTTTAGTTGGCAGCTAGATTGCAGTGAGCTAGGTGTGATTGGGCAGATATGAAAGGCTTGCCAGTGATGGTAACTCCTTTCGGCAATTGGCTGAAAAAGGGAAGAAAGATTGAGTAAGTCACATACACTGAATTGAGAACCATTCTGTGTAACCCTTAGCACCATGTCTGATGTATAGAAGGAAATCAATAACTACAACATTGTACATTTTAACCTTGTGAGTAGGGGAAGAGTTTGACATGTTTCTTGAGATCTATCCTGATGTCAGAAATCAAGCTGCCTCTAGGCTTTGCAGAATCTGCAACACCCAGACACCCAGAGCAGTTGCCGCTAACATAGTTCATATTCCACAGATATTATAAAGGTAAATTTAGTTTAATAGTTACATTAATAAAATCCATTAAAAAGAAAATAGGGATGGTAACAGGAATTTTTTACGTATGCATATAACAATCTATAGACATATCTTTGATGATTATGTGAAAGGATGGGAAGCTCATAAATTAACAGTACATAAAATAAATGTTTCAATGGCTTTCAGTTTTGTATTTGGGTTTTTGTTTGTTTTCTTTTGTTTTACAAAGTTTTGTTTATAGAAACTGCCAACAGAACCCTCTCTTTTTCCCAAACACATAGACTCCTTGAATTTTTCAATTTCAGACTAAAATGACTAGTTTTCAGTTTAAATTATTAATCACAGCTTACTTAATGATTATGATTCCAAATACTATTAGTTTGATAAGAGTATTGCTCTGCATTGAAAAAAATTAATTCAAGGTTTTTGCAAAGCCTTTAGCTATTTTGCAATTTATTGTTATTATTAAAAGGGTGGAAAGGTAAAGAGAATAAAAAACATGAAGTTCAAAGCTCCAAAAGACTAGAACTCAAAGATATTTTTCAAAGTATTTTTACCATATCAGGTCATTTTAATGGCAATCTCAGGTGTTTGAGATATATTTATATATTTCTTTTTTAAAGTTTTAGAGCTTAGTAGGGCCCGGGCTGTTAATGCTCGTTATCTATATGTGAAACTTCAGATAGGTGGATAATTACTATCATAATGAATTAAATTACACATCAAGTTTGGAGAATAGGGCACTTACTTCTGAAGCAAGATAGAAAACATTTTAAAGGTTTAAACAAAGTGTTATGGTGATATAATTAATTTCATAAAATAGAAAAATTATGAATTGATAAACATTTTAATCTATGTAGTAATGAATCTGACCAGAATAATAATATTCGTGTTTCTAAAATATAGATTAGTTTAACAAGGTTAATGGGAATTTTATACATAGAAGGGAAAGCTGACAGAATATTTAACATCTTAGCTAGTCTTTAGGAATTAAATAATACATGATGTATATGTCTATATACTCACATATATGTAAGTAATCAAATAAAAATAAAGCGAGATTGAATGCATGAACTACTTAACAAAGGTACTTTTTTGTGATTTTCTTTAATAACAATGTGTCATAGGTAACAAGACTCTTAAATTAATGTGATTATCCCATTTCAGTATAATTCAGTTCATTATCTGCAATGGTAATGTAAAAACCAGTAAAATCATGGTTTCCACAGTGATAGATATATTTGAAAGAATCTTGATGGAGGGACAGAACAGAAGAAAATACAGACACTGATAAATATGCTAGCTTATTTAGACAGAATTACATGAATAAAACCTTTTAATAATTAAGAGCAAATAATAATGCTGCTGATGATTATGATGATAGAGATAATGAATTAAAACATACTATACTGAATTGTTGCTGTTGTGATAGGTCACATGCAAAATATATTAATAAGCTTTTTCCCATTTATTCCTCATATTGGTACTATCAGGTTCACAGTGGAACCCCAACAACCATCTTTCTTTCTTCCATATTAACAGTGCTCTGAAATACTCACAGGGAACATTACTCCCCAAAGTAAAATCTACATTTCCTAGCCTCATTGACAGCTAAGACATGACTGAGTGACAAACCATCAAACATTGGTATACAAACGTGATTACTGTGTGAATCTTTCTCATACAATAGCTAGCATAAGCCTTTAACCCTGCTTCTTTGTCTCTTCTCCTTTCTGTTGCATAGAGTATGTTTATGAAGACTCAATTTGGAGGAATTGTCTTAGCCCATAAAGTGATCTTAGAAATGAAAGTCCAGTATAATGCAAGAAGTGAGAGAATGGAACTTGAGAGGTCTTTATGGGTCACAGTTGCTGTCCAGCCCTGGACTATTAACGTTCTGACATTTATGTTAGAGAGACAACATTATATTGCTTCTAAGCCACAATTTTGTGCAACTTCATCACAAACTTAGCTCATCATAAACCTAGTTCATATATAAGTTATTGTGTATCTCATATTAGTATAATATATTTATAATAAATATATAACAGAATATAAGCATATAAATTAATTAAAACTAAAGTTAAAATCAGGCAATTCTCCAACATAGGAAATTTACTAAATGATAGAGTTTAGTAAATGTAGAGAATGAAGAGCTTGAGATTAACTGCTTTGCAGACAAAGTATAATCATTTTGGAGGTCTTAAGAATGTAAGTTTCACTCTTTCTCATTTCTAGATTACTGACATAGACAGAAAACTCACAGATGAGTAATGGGATGCAAAGTACAATCTTTATTAATGACTAGTCAATTTACTGACAATTTCCCAAACTCAGAAGTTTAATGAAATTGTACTGGAGAGCCTGGCTCAGACATGGACCTCTCCCTAACTCTTTGCCAGTAGCCACCCTGAATTCATGTTAGGACTGGAACACAGGAAGAAAACGTGAAATAGAGAGAAAGCAAAGATAATCAGTCCTGCCATTTAATACAATGGTTACTTGGATTTCTTGTAATAATGATGCCCAATAGAAAAAAAACTTACAGCGCCCTGGAGCATGTTCCTCTGGCCTAATTTCAGTGCAGATATGATTGACATATCCACACTTATTGCCAGCATCCAATATCAAAAGGGTTCTTTGGAGGGCTCTGCTTTTCTGTCCCAGGAATATATGAAGCTCAGCCTAGAAGTGTGTGAAGTCTTCTAAATGATAAATGCCTCTCTATCTTCTATTAGTACAGTTCTGAAGTGCATTCTTCAAGATTCTTCAAGATTCCTCAGCAAGTAAAATGCTCAGTTCACCACAGCAGTAAGCAGCTCATTAAAATAAACCTTATTAGCTTTTATCTCTCCCTGTGCTACCTTTCTTACTAATCTAACTTCTACGTCCTGGGATCACCTGTCAAATAAACTTCCTGCCATCAAATCTTTGCCAGACTTTGAGGATAGGCTTTAAACCAAGACAGCTCAATATCTGTCGTTTTTTTGATTAGTAACATTTCCCTTCTCTCTTAGAAAAGAACAAATAACAAAAGGAGACAGAAGTTTTTTCCTTCCATATTTCCTAACCAGATAGAGAAGAGAGAGAGAATTCCTTATTTGCAGTAATGTAAGCTGAAATAAGTAACAGGTTTTCCCTAAAATAAGGTTGCCCAATATGTATATTTCAACTGTAGAATCTCATGTTTTCAATGATTATAGTGAGATGTAGTAAACCTAATTTTCTTATGGAAAAATATATACCAGTCAGAATCATTACTCTTAATATCAGGAAATCAATGGAATACAATACTGAGGTCTCAACACTCCCTTCAAATGCATCATCTATAATTGCTTTGAATCACAAATGTTTCACTCAACTGTCTCGCTTCTTAGTTCATTTTTAATTTTAGTATAATAATTTTTGTAAAATACTGGCAGCTTGGACGTTTGACAAAAATAAGATAGGCAAGAAGCAAATGCATTATTATTGCATGTGAACATATATAACTTTTCTTTTATTAATAACCCAGTAGGACATGTGTTGTAATTAATTGGTAGTGCTGCCTGTATTATAACATCTGTTTTATAAATGAACAGTTACCATAAATAGTTATGATTTGGCAAAGCCACAAATTTAATTAGTTACAAAACTAGTGTGTAAATACAAGTTTTTTTTGACATCTTATCTAGTTTTCTTTCATATCAACATAAATCTTAGCAACCTTCTTGTTAGACGCACCTCCTTTCCTGTGACCTCATGTTTCCATGAGAGAACTCCAATGTAATTGTGTCTTTCACTGCTCATTTACTCCTCCCCAGTGGTGGAATTGTAATAAGGAACTGATAACGCTTTGTTCAGCTTTCTCTGCACTTCCTATTTTCAGATGTGCTGACCCACAACGTGGACATTCTGGTAACTCTCTGTATATAGTTAAGAGTGACAAGAAAGCTTTTCTGCCTATTTCAGTATTCTGCAGTTGTTCAGTTGCTCTAGTGACTAGGAAAGCACCTCTCTACTATTAAAAGCCTCATTTCTCATACATTAAAGCCCTATTCTCTAATAAACTTTATCCTTAAATCTAACATTTCATCTCCATCTCTCTGTTATCTTGATCCTTATTTGTTTCTGAACTCCAGAGAGGAAGATAAGCTTTTATTACCTGCCTCCTGCATGAAAACACAATAATTACTTAAAACTTAAAGGACATCTCAAAAGTTTTGTTTTATGTGTGTGGTAGTTAGAAATAAGAATACTGAAATGTGCTATTACTAATACTGAATATATTTTATTCCAGCAATAATAATTGCGTGAAAAGGAAAAATCAACTGAATAATCAACTGAATTAAAGGAAACTATGTTTTGGGATATAGTTACCTGATTCAATATATTAAATAATGAACAGAATATTAACAACATTGGATTAGTGTAGTAAAAGGTAGTGAACTTTATCCAAACTTAATAAATAATTTCTAGTTTATTTTCTAAAAAAGAACTGTTTTTTTTTTACCAATATTATTCTTTTGTCTTCCTGCTGAAAACCTACATTTTACTTTCAAAAGTAATAGTCGTCATGTGCATAGTTCATTACCATTAAAAAAACATTTAATTCCAACTGTGAAATTGGTCCTTAGCAATGTGACTATGCTGATATGCCCTACATACCACTTATATTTGAATTTAATTACAGCATGAGGCTTATTTTTATGAAAATAAAAAATAGAAATACATTATGACAACTTATTTACAAATACACAACTTTTAATTCATATGGGTAATCCTGGGATTTATGAAACATTAAATCTTGGATAAGAATATGGCAGTAACTCTTTACCCCTATTATTCCCCCACCTCTGAAACAAAAAGAAGCTTAAGTATCTGTGATTTTTTTTAACTTATCTACTAATGCTTTGAAGACTAAACAGTGATGTTAAAGTACTGAAAATATGTCATTTTATTTCATTTGTTTGCACAACTTAACGAATAGTTTAATTCTTTAGAACATATTTTTTACTCAATGAATATATACCAGGAAAAATAAAAAGGGAAACAATAACTTTGGTAATTGACTTAGGAGTAACATAGAGGCACCCTACATCTTGAATAACTCTGCACCCTGATAAAACATGTCCCTAAATGAGTTGGAGGGGGAGAGAGTATCAAGCAGGCCTCAAACACAAAAAAGGTTACTTTTGTTTTGTACATGCATATTCTTTTTCTCTATGACTTTCTTGTTTCTGTGTGTTTTGGGACCAGGCGCACTGAATGTCTTTGTTCCAGATTACCTTTTCAATAAAGTATAGTGAATTTCTTTGGAAAATAATAGTGTCTTTCTCCAGATTAGAGAGGAGGAATGCTTATCACTTGTTATAAAATGATGTGGGTGTCTTAAACTCAGAGTTCCTTTCTTGTAGTGTGATCTTCTGTATATGCAGGTATCCCTCTGGTCCATATGCATCACTCCAGTGGGATATGGTGGTAAGGAGAAGCTAATTAAATGTACTGAAAAAGAAGTGAATCAAATATACACAGCTGTTGGCTGTGCTGTGAATAATGAGATCCTTGGTCTCTGACCTTAGAATCCCAAGTCTTCTTACAAGCATCCACGAAACTGAGGCTTTGTTTATTTCTTAAGTATTTTTCTCTTTGTTCTTCAGGTTAAATAATTATTAGCATATTTTAAAGTTTACTAAATGTCCCTTCTGCCATTTCCATTCTGCTAATTGAGTTTATCCATTGGATTCTTTAAAGTTTCAAATACTGTAGTTTTCAGTTCTAAAATTCATGTTTCTTTTTTATAGTTTCTATTTCTGAGCTAACAACTTCTCTCTTTC
The DNA here is from genome assembly GCF_000001405.40 of Homo sapiens. Taxonomy (NCBI): domain Eukaryota; kingdom Metazoa; phylum Chordata; class Mammalia; order Primates; family Hominidae; genus Homo; species Homo sapiens. The sequence continues at coordinate 86,153,985 of NC_000005.10, read as the reverse complement.
CATTTGTTTCACGTGGTAAACTTTACTTCATAGAAGACCGTTATAATAGTGATTGGAACAGGAGGCAGAGAAATTCTAGGCAGAAAGGGTAGGTCCCAGCGAAAACCCTACCCTCAAGTCGAAAAGCCTGAAACCACAGGCCAAAGTGAGAATATATATCCCTGTTTTCCCTCTTGAATGTTGTTTTTTCCTAAACCACCCATGGTTCTGCCCAGCCCCATCCTGTGCCTATAAAGACTCCAGACTCAGCCAGCAGGGAGAAGCAGCAGCTGGACATTGAAGAGAAGTGGCTTGAATTTAGGGGACAATTGATGGCATAACTTTGGAGAAGAATCTGGCTGGAGACAGCCAGAATTCAGGGGAGGATTACCTAACCCCTTCACTCCCCTTTTCAGCTCTCCTCCCCACTGAGGGCCAGTTTCATTGGCAATAAAATCCCTCACATTTACCATTCTTCAATTCATTCATGTGACTTCATTTTTACAAACACTGGACAAGAGCTTGGGAGCCGTGCAAATATGAAAGGCTGTCACACTGGCCCTTTGCCCTTGTTGGCAGATGGCACCTGCCCCAAACCACGAGGCAAAGGGCCCACTGAGCTTTTAACATTTAAGCTGTCCACAATTGGCAGAGCTAAAAGAGCACTGTAACATGTGCTCTGGGGCTTTAGGGGTTGCAGGCACCCCTTACAGATGCTGTAGCAGGGCCTGCCTGGAATTCACTTCTTCTGGCGCTGAAGCTGCCATCCTGTTCAGTGCTCATGCCCTCCAGTTCCTGCCTAGTTTGCTCACATGCTCCCTCCTGTGAGGACCTGAGAGCAGCAGGCTGAGTTAAGGAGGCATCCCTGTCATGAGTCCCTTGAAAGGGTCAGGGTAATATCCTGCTTCAATAGCTGCTGTAATTTCTTGGATAATGCCAACATCTGAATTATCTCATAATTAGTATCTATGTATTAGCTTTTTCCTTTGAGAATTGGTCACATGTTTCTGGTTCTTTATATGTCGAGTAATTTTGAATTGTATACTGAGCATTTAAAAAATATGTTGCATAAATTCTGGGTCCCATATAAATCCTCAGGAGAATGTTGCTGTGTTTCTCTTAGCAGAAAATAAAAGTGGTGTAGTTCATGCTACAAGTATGGTCTGAACTTTTGAAGGTGTTAGTTCTAATGCCAATTCAGTTTTGAAGGCTTTGTCATATGCTTTGGGTCTATCTATACTCATGCCACAGAGGTTAAGTCTAGGATTGGGTGGTAACTTGAATGGTGGTTGTTTGCTCAAAGTCTTCATTAAATTTCTACTACCTGAGACTACTGAACAGTAATCAAAAGTGGTAGATTGGCCAGAAAGATGGAGTTTCTCTCAGAGTTTTTGCTGTCTGTTTCTCCTGATGATAACAACTAAAATCTTTGGTAATATATTACACCTTACAATATTACAGGGAATATACCTTACAAGGTTAAAAAAATTATGGATGAATATAGTACATTTGCAGAGACTGTTCTTTACTAAAGAAAATGGATATTCTGGTATCTGCTCTCCAGATATTCATCTCAGTAATGTATTTTATTTCCCAACACAATAAAGACTTTTATCTGACAGGGCTGTAGTTTAAAATTGACTACCTTGCCTCTTGGGATATATATGTTTTCTAGCTTAGTACTACAATTAAATCTATCAGAAAAATTGAGCATCCCACCATCACCATCTATAGGGCCTAATACTAATTTTTTATAATAATGGTATTATATTCACTGGGCTGGGAAACACGCAATGTTAGGTAACTCTACACCTTGATGAGTTACATGCATGCCAGAACGTGTGAGATAAATTCCATGAAAATTTAGTGTCCTGAGATCTCAATAATGATTATGCATTGTGGTGGTTTGGGTCATGTCCATCTATCCCCTCAAAGTGAAAGTTATTAGAAATTGTCCTCTAACACTAAGAAGGTAGCACAATATTTAGTATTCTCATAGTTATTTGTAGTACTCTGATTTATCTCCTGGGTGATATAAATTTGCTGACATTTAACAGATCCAAGGGAAAATAAAAAAAATATTTACACTTTTCTAATCTAGAAGTAAAGCAGTTCTGTCACTTGGACATTTTGAATCTCTGGAGCCAATGGGAAACTGGGATGCTGTAGTGGGGATTATAAAACACTCTAAGAAAACTTACAGTCTTAGAGCTTTAGAGCAAAGACATTTCTTCTTTGGAAAACATCAGTTCTCTTTTTAAGAAACAACTTTTGGATTTTTATTGGGTCTTAGTAGAGAATAAAACCACAGGACACCAGATGATAATCAAACCAATGGTGGTCTGGGAGTTACCTTATAATTTAGGTATGAAGTCAGTCTTTGAGTAACACTATGTCATTAATTGGACTTAATATCTACTAGATCAGACAAAATAAATTTTTAATACACACAGAAGTTGAATGAGTAGGGTATCTGCATTTTCATAATGACAATATTTGCTAAATTTTTAACAAATGATCTTGCATCAGCCATGTAGAAATCTGCTATAGAATTTAGGTATCCTCCTTAAACAGAAGGGAGAAAAGCATACTTCATATAGGCAGACCTTCAAGCTTTAGACTTTATTTTTCACAATGTCTTTAAATGCAGATAAGCCTGAGTTAAGGGTCTATACTAATTATGTTTTGGCACACTATCCAAAACTTAGAAGAAACAATGTTGGAAGATAAGCAACCAAGAAATTTTGCAAAAATTATGTGAGTTGATAATCTCTTTAATATGCCCAGAATCAGAAGACATTTAGTTAACAGTAAAATAGTCACCAAAAATCTGGTAAAGTGGAAGAATAATCACATTGAGAAATTGATCTATTTGTGCATGTCAGTCAGATTATACCACAGCCATTGAAGGCATGAGTCAATGGGATCATAAAATGTATGACTATAATGGTACTGCAGAGGAAAGTCATGCATTCAACAATATGAATTTTACCTCACAGAGGGTAATGTGGCTATTATTACTGTAAATTGCCTAATTTTAATATCAATGACCAGTCTTGAGCCTTCTTATATAGCAGTATATATCTAGGTGAGCATGCAAATAGCGTATACATTGATTGCCTTTTCTTCTTGGAGGCAGAGGTGTTTTATTTTTACCCAAAGTCTAGGTTTCAACTTTCTTTTCTTGACTTCTACCCAAATAATAGAGCATTGTTAAAAGGTACATCATGTATTTATCTGTGCAGCATATGAAACAAGCTTTTGTTTCTGGTATAAGGAAGCTAGTTTTTAAGGAAAAGAAAATAAACAATGAAGAAAAACAAAAGAAATTAATGAGGAATTTACCGTGTATTATCACAATCCATATCACTCCAGATCACCAAGCTGTTAATAATATAGAAGATGAGAATGGCTTATTAAAACTATTATAGTCAATTAGATATTCTGATATTATCTCTAATGTAAAATACCCAGAATTACTGAATTAAATAAAACAAAATCCTTTTACAGGCATAGCCAAACTCACAAGAAACACTGAGGCATATCCCCGGTAGCCACCCACCTTCCAACCAATCAATAAAAAAGTAAGAAGTAAACCAAAGTGATAAACCGAAGCTAGTGTACAGCAAGCCTGGGTATATTTGACATTGTTGGTAACCAAGACACTGGTGATTTTTTTTGTTTGTCTGTTTTTGTTTTTGTTTTTTTGAGACGGAGTCTTGCTCTGTCGCCAGGCTGAATCTCGGCTTACTGCAACCTCCACGTCCCGGGTTCAAGGGATTCTCCTGCCTCAGCCTCCGGAGTAGCTGGGATTACAGGAGCACGCCACCATGCTCAGCTAATTTTTGTATTTTTAGTAGAGACAGGGTTTCGGTTTCACCATGTTGGCCAGGATGGTCTCCATTTCTTGACCTCGCGATCCGCCCACCTCGGCCTCCCAAAGGGCTGGGATTACAGGCGTGAGCCTCTGCACCCGGCCGACACTAGTGTTTTAATGGTTATTGTGGCACTAAAAGACAAGCCCTTGCCCTGAAACACGCAATATAAGGATTTAAAATTGAGAGAGCACATCAGGCGCAGATCCTTGAAAGGCTAGAATTTTAATAAAATATAAACAAGAAAAAAAAACCTTCTCTCTTTTAGCAACAGATCATAAATAGTCCAGCAGATTAATAATTTTGGGCCAGGCGCGGTGGCTCACGCCTGTAATCCCAGCACTTTGGGAGGCCGAGGTGGGCGGATCACGAGGTCAGGAGATCAAGACCATCCTGGCGAACACGGTGAAACCCCGTCTTTACTAAAAATACAAAAACACAAAAACAAAAAAAGAAAAACAAAACGGTTTTGAGTGCCTAGCTTCCCCCAAATTTCCCAGCTTACTTAGAAAGGTGCAAATCGCTTTGAGACAGGGAGACCTCGTTCAAATTGAAGCTGTCACAGGGGGAAAGGAGAGCTGGGGAGCACGGTGAAATGTGTGATTCCACCTCAGTAAGCAAGGTTCTTGTGGTTCAACCAAGCAAACTTCAATGTTGTAGGTTTGCCCACTACTCTATATTGGGTGGCAAGAACATCTACTTCAGCCTTGAGTGCCCTTTAACTTGGCAGCCACAACCACAATGCGTTTGACAGAGATGTAGGCATGTGACATCTGGTTGACTCAGGCTTCACTCATAGGGCAGAAATTGTTTAAAGAAGTCCATTTCAACCCAAGGCATTGGCTGCCACACTGTTATGATAACACATTTTAAGTTTTCACCCAGCTTTATTGTGAGAGCTACAATTTTCCGTGGCAATGGGTCTCACCACAATAATTTATCAGGCATTCTTTATATTACTTTCTCATTCTTTAACAAATTATGGCCTGTAGGTTGGCCATCTGTTTTTGTAAATAAAGTTTTATCAAAAAACAGCCATGATCATCTGTGAATTGTCTGTGGCAGTTTTTGTACGACAAAGATACAGTTAAATAGTTGTAAGGGAAGCTATTAGTCTAAAAACCTAAAATATTTACTTTATTGCCCTTTCAAAAATATTTGCTGACTCCTGATCTAGCAGGTCACCTTCATTGGCACTGTAAACTCAATCTAGACAATAAGAACTTGAAAACTAGTTAGTGCCTCTATCTGTGGTTTTCCACAGGAATTTTTCTATTTAAGGAAAATCTTTTCAGGAGAGCCCTCCTCATGGCAGCCAAAACCCATTGCAAAAATCTCAGAATGAACCTAAGGTTAGCATGATAGTCTACAGAATGAGTTGGGTTGCAAAATGGCCCAGATGTTTCCATTCTTTTTAACAAATGATACATTCTTTGCAATCTCATCTCCCATGGACACCAGAATCTAATGATTCAACATGTTGCTAGCTCTAGCAGTCACAACTTTTATCTCTTTCATGCTCACTATAGGTGCATGTCTTTGTAACTGCTGTCTGAAAGATGGCAGAAATTTTTGCCTTCCCAGATTGACAAGGACAGTGCAACATTTGGGCAGCTGTCTTTCAACCTACTTCCAGGTATTGGCCTGCACCTCTCTCCCAGTTTCTGCTCATTATCATCTAATAAAGTAGAGGAACTTTTATTATCAAACAGACCATAAAATTTAGTGAAAATACCCTTTACCAATTTCCATCAACTTTCCTCAAATCATGTTAATCAATCAGCCTATGAGATCATCATACTCTTTTTTCTGAAAGCCACATTTCTTTAACCTCCCACTCTTATTGCCAGAACTGCCAAGAACTGAAAGTCCTGAGATTTTATATTACTTTCGAACCACGAAGTTAGCCTGCCAGCTTCATGGATGCTGACAGAAGACACAAGACTCCAAGATCAGAAGCAAAGGATTATCCTCTTAATAGCACAGCAAGCAGCAGCCTTCACCATGAAGACACGTTGAATATGGCCTGCTCCCCTATGAAGAGGAAGGGGGAATGAGAGAATGTGCCTCATTCTTTTTTGTTGTTTTTTGCTTTATCTCCCCTCGCTTTCTTTTTTTCATTTCACTTTCATGTTTACATCTGTGATGGTTAATTCTGAGTGTCAACTTTATTGGATTGAAGGTTGCAAAGTCTTGATCCTGGGTTTGTCTGTAAGGGTGTTGCCAAAGGAGATTAACACTTGAGTCAGTGGGCTGGGGCAGGCAGATCCACCTTTAATCTGGAGGCCACAATCTAATCAGCTGCCAGCGAATATAAAGCAGGCAGAAAAATGTGAAAAATAGAGACTGGCCTAGCCTCCCAGCTTATATCTCTCTCCCACGCTGGATGCTTCCTGCCCTTCAACATCAGACTCCAGGTTCTTCAGTTTTGGGACTCAAACTGGCTCTCCTTGCTCCTCAGCTTGCAGACAGCCTATTGTGGGACCTTGTGATCATGTAAGTTAATACTTAATAAACTCCCCTATACAAAGATATATATACACACACACACACACACACACACACACATTTCTCCTATTCTGTCTCTCTAGATAACCCTGACTAATATAAAATCTCTGCCAAATTTCGCCTTGAGTTATTGAATAGTGACATTGACCGCACAGTCCATGCTTTATATAAGTTGGGGCACAGGAGGTGTCTAAAGTTATTGATGATCATGCAAAAACCTGGGGATGCCCTATATAAGGAAACTGAGGCAGAGAAATGTTAAGTAACTCTCCCAACAGGTCATAAAGGTCTGTTCGTATCCTTCGCCCACTTTTTGATGGGATTGTTTGTTTTTTTCTTGTAAATTTGTTTGGGTTCATTGTAGATTCTGGATATTAGCCCTTTGTCAGATGAGTAGATTGCAAAAATTTTCTCCCATTCTGTAGGTTGCCTGTTCACTCTGATGGTAGTTTCTTTTGCTGTGCAGAAGCTCTTTAGTTTAATTAGATCCCATTTGTCAATTTTGGCTTTTGGTGCCATTGCTTTTGGTGTTTTAGACATGAAGTCTTTGCCCATGCCTATGTCCTGAATGGTATTGAAAGAAGACATTTATGCAGCCAACAGACGCATGAAAAAATGCCCATCATCACTGGCCATCAGAGAAATGCAAATCAAAACCACAATGAGATACCATCTCACACCAGTTAGAATGGCGATCATTGAAAAGTTGGGAAACAACAGGTGCTGGAGAGGATGTGGAGAAATAGGAACACTTCTATGCTGTTGGTGTGACTGCAAACTAGTTCAACCATTGTGGAAGACAGTGTGGTGATTCCTCAGGGATCTAGAACTAGAAATACCATTTGATCCAGCCATCCCATTACTGGGTATATACCCAAAGGATTATGAATCATGCTGCTATAAAGACACATGCACATGTATGTTTATTGCAGCACTATTCACAATAGCAAAGACTTGGAACCAACCCAAATGTCCATCTATGATAGACTGGATTAAGAAAATGTGGCACATATACACCATGGAATACTATGCAGCCATAAAAAAAGGATGAGTTCATGTCCTTTGTAGGGACATGGTTGAAGCTAGAAACCATCATTCTCAGCAAACTATTGCAAGGACGGAAAACCAAACACCTATGTTCTCACTCATAGGTGGGAATTGAAGAATGAGAACACTTGGACACAGGAAGGGGAACATCACGCACCGGGGCCTGTCATGGGGTAGGGGGAGGGGGGAGGGATAGCATTAGGAGATATACCTAATGCTAAATGAGGAGTTAATGGGTGCAGCTCACCAACATGGCACATGTATACATATGTAACAAACCTGCACATTGTGCACATGTACCCTAGAACTTAAAGTAAAACAAAACAAACAAACAAACAACAACAAGAAACAACAAAAAAAATAAAAAATAAAATAAAGGTCTGATGTGCTAGGGTACAGTCTCTTAACAGCTATGCTATATTGCTTCTCAGGACTAGTGGGACACTCTGTAAACCAGAGGGCTGCTCTTAGAAGGGACACTGACTGGATCCTGACAGTTACACACATCTGAGCTGATCAACTGTCTCTCTTCTACTCGAGACAGAGTTTCTCTGGGTATGGATGATCAAAAGATACAGACAGACATATTTTAAAATTGAGAGTATTGGAATCTGGGATGGTTCAGACTGATGTGCTCTCCCTCCAATCGATTATTTCCCCCTGGGCTGTTAAGGGAGGCAGAGACACCAGTGCATGGCTAAAAATTTTCTTTTTTTTTTTTTTTTGTATCTTTTATTTTAAGTTCAGGCATAGTGTGCAGGTTTGTTACATAGTTTAAATGTGTGTCACGGGGCTTTGCTGTACAGATTATTTCATCGCTCAGGTATTAAGCCTAGTATTCATTAACTATTTTTTCCTGATCTTATCTCTCCTCTCTCATGCCCCCGACAGACCACAGTGTGTGTGTTGTTCCCCATCATGTGCCCATGTGTTCTCATCATTTAGCTCCCAGTTAAAAGTGAGGACATGCAGTATTTGGTTTTCTCTTCCCCTGTTGGTTTGCTAAGGATAATGGCCTCCTGCTGTATTCATGTTTCTGCAAAGGACATGATCTTGTTCTTTTTATGGCTGCATAGTATTCCACATGTATACGTACCACACTTTCTTTATCCAGTCTCTCATTGATGGGCATTCAGGTTGATTCTATGTCTTTTCTATTGTGAATAGTGCTGCAGTGAACATACATGTGAATGTGTCTTTATAATAGATGATTCATGTTCCTTTGGGTGTATACCCAGTATTGGGATTGCTGGGTAGAATGGTATTTTTGTCTTTAGGTCTTTAAGGAATCACCACACTGTCTTCCACAGTGGTTGAGCTAACTTACACTTCCCCCAACAGAGTATAAGTGTTTCTTTTTCTCTACAACCTCACCAGCATCTGTTATTTTTTTGCTTTTTAAGAATAAGCAGAGAATGTGCCTCATTCTTAGGCTTCCCGAACTTTCTCTCCCAGCTTCCTATAGTCTGATCTCTCTCTTAGTCACATCTGTGTCATTTTTAATATGCGAAGTGGTTAGGGATGTTTGCATAAAAAATAAAAAATAAGAAAATGTTTTATTTTTTTAATCACCCCATTGCTTCTCGACTGTATTGCAAAAGTTATTGTAGTGAGTCTGACACCGGAAAAATATTTATTTTAAATACAGAAAGTAAAAAATGTACCTTTTATTCAAGATGACAGGCAGGTAAGTAAAATAATGCCTTTGTGATAAATTGAGACTATCTTTCTATAAGAACTAGAAAAGTAGAAGTCTATATCAAAGGGAAGATTTCATATATTTTGGCAAAACATGCTAAAAAATTTGGGATTGATAATAAAGACTAGAAAATTTGAACACAAATTATAGGTTCTATAATTTGAGACAAAACCCAGGTCTCAATAGGATGATTGCAAGGTGAATAAAGTTGTTAAAAATATGCCTTATTTTAATGTTTTCCTGGATCTTATTCCAATTGGGTATGTTTTAAAACAAAATTTTCAGACTGAGTTGCTTGTAAGCTCTATTTTTATAAAAACATTAACTCAAATACACTTGAAACTTGAATGTAATCTGTATCTCTATACAGCCTACAATAGCAGACAAAGGCTGAAATTTGAACAGATTTTCTAATTTTCTTCAATGTAAATCAAGAACAACAATCCTATCTATAACATGGACCAGGTAAGGATTGCGTATGAAGCAGAGTAAGACCGGATAGATGACAAATTTTCATTATGAAAACAAAATTTGTGATTTTCAGTATAAATGAATTAGGAACATCAACAGAATGAATTGATTTTAAGGAAAATGTTTCTGAATTTACTGAAAGTGTATCTATCAATTCTCAGCTTTTTTTTTTTTTTTTTTTTTTTTTTTACCAGAGATCCCTTATGCACCGCTTTAGATTTTTATAGCCTTTTATAGCCCTAATGCTGCATCAGCCAGCCCTGCCTGGGCTCCAGCCAGATGTCAAGTAGGTTCCATGTATCAACAGCCTCTCCCGGGCACTACTTTATGACTCTTCTCTCAGACCACGGAACTTCCTAGTTGACAGAAACAAGAATGTGACTGGAACCCAGCATGTGTAACCTGAAAGTACAGGGAAGTGGATGTGGTGTTGCTAAAAAGTTTGATTGGTGGGATGGGAGCCAGTGTATAAATGTTTTCCCTTTCTCCCTCAAGTGCTTGGACCTGTGTTATCTCAGAAAATCCTGTGGCCAACTCAGTAACACATCCCTGCTTTACTCTCTTCTCTCTTATTCCTGACCCCTTGAACTGCTCCAGGACTCCAGTAAAATATTCTTAACATGAGTCTTTGTCTCAAGTTTATTTTCTGAGAAAGGAAGAAGGCTAAGAAATTATTTTCAGTTTAGTACCAAGGAAATGAGTGAAAGTTAAATAAATTGTATGTCGCGATTGTATTACCATTGATTTTCAGGTTTAAAGTAGTTTAGAAAGCCCTTGAATACAAAAAACAAACAAATAAAAAACCCAGAGATGCCTAATAGTGCGAAGTCTGCTCTGGGCAACACAGCAGTATATTTGCTTGGCAAAAGAAAACATATAATCTACAGGACAATATATTAGAGCAGCAAGTGAGAGGAGAACTATGTAACCTATAAGTAAAGATTAAAATAATGGGAACATAGATGTAAATACAGTGTATGTAAGGCAAAAAAGTAAAATTGACAACATAAAAGAAAAGTAATAGTGAGAAATATAAGGATATGAAAGTTTCACTTTATAGGAAGCAATATATGTTTCTGAAGAGGAGCATAAAAGAGTTCCAACTCAGTGGTGTAGTTGAGGAGAATCTTCTCTGGAAGAAAGAAAACTTAAATGCATGAAGGATCAGTTGTTAGGAGAAAAAGTGTCAATCTACATAGTATGAATAAAAAAACTTATAATGTATTATTTGCACAACTAACACTAATGCCTAAATGTGTACAAAATAATAAAGGTGATATGGGTAATATACAGTGGCAGAAAATATTTTAAAAATTAAAATTTTTGAAATAGATCAGTTGTTACAGCCTATGCTTTCAATACAACAAAAATAAAATTTTAGAAGTGTCAGAAAAAGATAAACTCTACAGGCTTTGGAGAGAGACATATCCTAATTTAAATTCCAGTTTCACCAATTACCCGCCGTGTTCATGTGTAACGTGAATAAGCATTAAGATTTCTGTGCTTCAGTTTCATTCAACTGCGAAAGATTGGTATGAAAAAATGATAAAATAAGCATGTAAAGAGCTTACTATACACCAAGTTGCCCATGGTAATAACCCCAAAAAAGGTTGTTTTAATAACATGTCTTCTGTTGCTAAGAGGCTTCAATGAGGTAGAAAAAAGAGCCAGTCTCTAACTTGACTTGGTTTCAAATGCCGATTCTGACTTTTATTAGCCATAATGACTACATTAACTTCTGTGGAAAACATGCAATAACATTGGACTCAGATCTAACTGTGTGGCCATGAACAAATATGATTTTCTGACCTTCAACTTGAGATAAAGATTAAATGTGATAATTTGTATGAATGTATGTTCACGCATTATTTTTGTGTAATAACCAGTTTATTTCTTTCACACATTAAAGTTTCATAGGTTTATTTTTCATTTTAATAGAGACTTTAAAAAGGATTTCTGGAGTGGGAGTAAAAATCAGAATAATGAGCCTGACTGATTCTACTAATGTTGCTTTAGATGTCAAAACTTGGATTTTCTATTTCTTTTTATCAATGAGGAAAAGATGTGAAAAGTCTCTACTGAAAATCACAGAGATGGAAGAAAACTCACTTATTTTAAACTAATTAATTGTGATTAACAAATATAAATAAAAGCTAAGGATTGTCACCTGGTTTTCAGTGTGTGAAATAGGAGTGCACTGTGAAAACTTTGAAATTTATCGTTTGGGAACATATTTTTGAAGGAAACATTATATGTACAAGCAAAATTTTGCAAAATTGTATCTTATGCTTAACAATCTTACTATATAAATAAGTAATTGAAACAAGGTGGGCGGATCACAAGGTCAGGAGTTCAAGACCAGCCTGGACAACATAGTGAAACCCCATCTCTACTAAAAATACAAAAAAATTGGCCAGGCGTGGTGGCGCATGCCTGTAATCCCAGCTACTTGGGAGGCTGAGGCAGGAGAATCACTTGAACCTGGAAGGCAGAGGTTGTGGTGAGCCAAGATCTCGCCATTGCACTCCAGCCTGTGAGACAGTGTGAGACTCCGTCTCAAAAAAAAAAAAAATTACTTTATTCAATTTCATTTGTATGAACTATTAAAGATTTTTGTCAGATTCTTTAATTTTATGTTATTTATTCATATTTTGAAAGTAGAAGACTTACTGTGTTGCTCACAGAGGCTGTTTAGATTTTTAATTTCACCCAGGCCACAAATCAAACTACTGACCTCTTAATTCTCAGCAAAAAATAAATAAATTTTTATTTTTGAAAAGCTGGCAGTATTTAAATATGTTTTCTATCAATTTTACAATTTTTCACCTCAATATATCTAAATCAATGTATTCTCTGTTGCTTGTATTTTTTAAAAGAAATAATTTTATTCTCATTTTTCTGACCAGAAAAGGAAGGAAACAAAATCATCAAAGGTTGCATTATTTTATCACCCTGAGTAAATGGGACTTCATGCCATTACAGGATTCTGGAAGAAACAGAGCTAGCTCATGCTGTGGGAGGGAGGGCTAGGGTCCTTACCCATTAACCCCAGCCTGTCATTGGTAGAGCACTGTTCCCGGGTGGCATTAATTCCCTAGCAGTCCCAGCCTCCTGGGAACATGGGAAAAGTGGTCCCCAGTGGCCCCTGAACACTTTTAGGCAAACAGATGCAGAGCTGAGAGTTGAATATCAGGCTAGCATGCATAAAAAATGGCTAAAGTTAAGAAGAAAGAAGCAGGAAACTGACACATGATATATAATATCACATATATATTAATATATGTGCGTACATGTGTATATGTGTATATATACATATGCACATACATATATATATTTCTCATTAAAAAAAGTTAAAAATACAAAGAAGGAAAATAAAAATCAACACCATTTTACTGACTTCAGTTTGGTAAAATGAATTTTAAGGCATTTAAGGTTTTAAAAAAGTTGTAAATATTGTGAAAAAAATGTTATATAACTAATTTTAAGCATTGCTTTCCAACCTGCTTTTGTTGCTAGGTGTGTGTAGTGTTTTATAATTTTTATTTAGGTCAAGTTGGTCAATAGTGTTGCTCAGGTCTTCTATATACTTACCTGTTTTTTTCTGTTCATTCTATTAATTAATAAAATAAATTTAAAATTTTTTACAGATTTCTGGTAGATTTGTCTATTTCTGCAGCTAATCAGATTTTAGTATATGTATTGTGAAGCTCTGTGATTTGGTGTATAAACATTTAGGACTGGTATTTCCTCTTGATGGTTTAACCTCTATCATTTTAAAGTGACTCTCCTCTGTCCATAGTCTTTGTTTTGAAATCAACTTTGTCTAATATTAATCCTGACATTTCTGTTTTCTTTAGGCTAATATTAGGATGACTTTTTTCCTGTCTTTTCCCTTTTAATCTATTTGTGTGTTTGCATTTAAAGTGGATCTTTTATCCAGAGCATATAATTGGCTCTTATTTTTTATGCAATCTGACAAGTACTGAGTATTACTTGAGGTGTGTACACTCTTCACATTTAATATGAGTGGTGATACAGCTGTGTGTGAATCTGCCAGGTTGCTATTTGTTTTCTCTTTTGTCTGTTGATTCTTTGTTCTCCCTCTTTTTCATTTTCTCTCTTCTTTTAGGTTGCTTAATTATTTTTTATTATGACATCTCTTATGCTAATTTATTATGTTCCTATTTTTTCTGGATTTATTGTGATTTACTAGTTTTAACTCTTTATTCTGAATTTCAGTTTCTTATTAAATATCCTTAGTATAGTCTAACTTCAAGCAATATTATTTGACTTCAGTTGTAACAGTATACTTCCAATTAACTCTTGGGTTTGTGATATTTTTGTCATACATTTTATTTCTATAGATTTTTACAACATTGCATAATATTATTAATATATATTATTATAATTTAGCCATAAACAATCAATTACCAATTTTAAGATTTTTAATAATCAGAAAAGTCTTTCATATGTACTCAAGTATTTACCATTTTCAATAAATAAATCTTCTTTTTTTGTATGGATATGGATTTCCCTCTGTTATCATTTTTCTTCCGCTAGGAAGATTTACTTTATTATTGTTTATAACATAGCTCTTTTGGTAATGAATTCTTTCAGTTTTTGTATGTTTTAATATATTTTTATTTTGTCTTTGGTTTTGAAGTTTTTTCCTAGTTTCAGAAATCTAGATTAAAGCTTATTACTTTTTCAAATTATTTAAAGATATTTCTTCATTGTCTTTGGGCCTCAATTATTTCTGATAAGAGGTATGCTGTTATTCTTATCTTTGTTCCTCCATCTTTTTTCTCTTCAGCTGCTTTTAAGATTATTTCTTTATCACTGGCTAAGCAATTTGACCAAGGTGTGTCTTGGTGTATACTTCTGCTTATACTTCTTCTGCTTGGGGTTAATTTAGCTTCTTGGATCTATCAGTTTATTTATTTATTTTTAATGTTTCCTGCAATCTTCTCTGTGTGTTTGAAATTCTCCAACTGCACCTAATTTAGGATGTTGTCAGTTCTTTCACCATTCACTGTGGCTATGTTTATTTTTTAAATGTCTTTTCTCTCTAGGTTTTTTTTAATAGTTTTCTTGCTATGTATTCAGGTTTACCAATTATTTCTTCTGCATGGTCTAGTTTGCTACTAAAATAGAGTGCATGTTTCACTGCAAATATTATGTTTGTAAATATCTAAAAGTTTGATTATTCCATATCTCCAGTTAACTTCCTAAATCTTTCCATAACTTGCTTAGACAGAAAAAAGTAGCTATAATAATGTCTTTATGTCCTTGTCTGAGGTAAATAAGTACACATTTTTATCACCTCTGTTGCCAAATTATAAAATCATTTCGATTTACTACTTCATTGTATCTTTTACGAAATTTTGGAAGTTTTGGTCAGTATTTTTTCAAGTATTTTTCTGAACCAATCTTTTTAATTTATTCTTCTGGGACTCTAATGGCACAAATATTAGAACTTTTGATAATTCACTATCATAGGTTTTGCAGTACAGTAGAGAAACAATGGGGTGATTTTAAAAATAAAACCTTTGCAACCATCCCTTCACCCATCATATTATAAGAAGATTCAGAGGTGAATGAGAGAAAGATGAGATCAGAGAGAGCTGGGAAAGAAAGTTCAGGAGGCCGAAGAATGAGGCACATTGTCCTTTCTACATCCTTCTGGTTGGTGAATGGACCATATTCAATGTCTTTCCAGGGTGTGGTTATCTGTGTTTTGCTTTTATTTTCGTCTCATGGGCTCGGAGGAAACCTGAGAAGAAGCTTCTTTTGTCCCTGCAGAACATGAATATCTCATCAGCATGTGGGCCAAAAGCTCTCTATGGGTGGGGTGTTGGTGTATATGTTCTTTCATTTTATTTTTTAAACCCGTGATTTGGAACTAGGCTCTGACTTCCTGCATCCTAGCAAGGTGCAAGAAGTCAGAACCTAGTTCCGTCTGTGCTCAGAAGTCAAACCAGGAATGTGCTGAAGCTGGCCCCTTACAGGCTTGGGATAGCTGATAGTTAATAACACTCAGAAGGTTCACAGTTGTTAAAGCATTGTTAGCTTGAAACTGAGGATATGCATGCCACAAAAAAATTGGTAAGTGCTACAAAGAATTTCTTTTTTTCTTTCTATTTTTCTTTTTGTGAAAAGATTTACCAGTTCCAACTTGAACATGTGGACATTTGTATTGCAGAATGGAATTTCATTCATACCACAGCATGGGCAGCATGGGCACGTGCCCTCCCCTTCCCACCTCACACTTCTTTTGTTTGTTTGTTTTTGTTTATTTTTTTTTGAGTTGGAGTCTTGCTCTGTCACCAGGCTGGATTGCACTGGCGCGCTCTGGGCTCACTGCAACCTCCTCCTCCTGGGTTCAAGCGATGCTCCTGCCTCAGCCTCCTGAGTAGCTGGGACTGCAGGCACATGCCACCTCTCCTCGCTAATTTTTGTGTTTTTAGTAGAGACGGGGTTTCACCATGTTGGCCAGGATGGTCTCAACCTTTTCACCTCATGATCTGCCCGCCTAGGCCTCCTAAAGTGCTGGGATTACAGGGATGAGCCACCGCGCCTGGCCCAACTCACACTTCTGAGAAGGAAAGTTGAACTGAAATGATCACACAAATTAAAATTTGATTGATTAACTAGATAATACTATATTATTATTTTATTTATGTATTTGGTTACTTGTGACTGACTGGAATGGGAGGCTCCAGAGCTAAGCCAAAATAGTCTAGTCTGAAAACATATATTTTTTTGTCATCTCTGGATTTTGTGGAGTATTTTTGTAAGTGGAACATATCACACTGGTTACACACTTTTCTGTTAATTAGGAGTTGATTGTTTGCTTTTCATTGTCATTTCTGCTTTTTAATACTTCAGTCTCTACTAATGACTCAGCAGAAAAACAAAAACAAAAAAAGAACAAAGTAACTCACTGACCTGGATGAAGACTCTCTGACGGTCTTTTTCTACTATCTGAGAGTAATTCCACTTTAATAACTTTCTCTAATTTTTCCATATGTCTGATTATATCATCTTGTAACTACCAAATTTAGTCCCTATTAGCTGCCTTAAAAACCCTGCAATTTTCACAGCTCGATTTGTGGTAAGCACTACTTTCTTAAAAAGACTCTGATTTTCTAAAGACACTAGAAAGGAAGAAAACTACATTTAAAAAACTGATGAAGACATAATATTTCCATGAGTGACACAGAGATGGAAAATATCCTGTATCAGATAGTTGTTATATGGTAAGATTTATGTGAGTGAAGCATAACATCCATTCACAACTTTATTGAGAAATTGGTGGAAATATCTTATATTTATCTAATCTAAATATCTGTTTTCAATTTGAGCATCTTTCATCCTCTTATTAATTTGTTTTTTGTTACCATTGGTAAAAAATAGTCATTATCCAGCTCATTTTTTTAAGTCATAGAGACCTGAAAACATTTTTTTTCTAAATTAAGGTGTCAAAAGAAATGAAATATGACATAACAATATAGTCATCTATGTATATACAGAATATATAATCCTGTAAAGTAATAATTATTTTTATTATGATTAATTGTGTTAAGTAACACATGCTATTTCTATGACTCTAAAATAAGCTAAAGTAAATAATTGATAATGTGAAAATGTTTTTATTTTATTCATAATAATACCATGGAAGAAAGCACTCAAAATCTATAGGAAGTAGTTGCCATCGTTTACTTTTAGGTTATAATGTTTAAAAAAGAATGATTTGGAGTATAAACATTTTAGCTTACATGAAATATTATGGCAACTTCCTTTTAATTATTAAACATAAAAAGTAAAGGATTATTGAAAAATATGGAAATATACAAGATATGCTTTAATTTAGAATATGTCAAATAAAAATATCAGTCAAAATTTATATGTTGTATAAGTCACCATAATTGCCTTAAAAATGATTCTGATTATCAACCATGAATAATATACCCAGCTCGATATCATCTTTATTTGAACTATATTTTACGTCAGTTAAATATCAATGGGTATCTATTTTTGCAATTGCAAGTACTGTATTAATGCACTCTTTCAAATAACTGCTATATAATTCTAAGATTGGAAATAGAGTTCAAGATCGACAAATTTTTAAACAGTAGTATATTATCCACTTCATAAATGTAGGCACTGAAAGAATAACTATAATTCAACAAAAATAATACACATCTGGGTGAACTGGATTCTAGTGGCATTTCAGTCTTACCAACTTTAAGACCTTTGAGTGTAAATGGATTTCAGTGTTCTTATTTGTAAGTGATCTAGCCATCCTTCAGCTGATAGAGTTTTTGAAATTATGAATACACATATTATTTACGTAATTGTAGTGAGAAGCTAAATAATATGTCCTTCTAAGTTATACAGGGATCACCAGCACCAAAAAATAAATTGGAGTAATGTGAATAAATCGCTTTGATAATTTCTAAGCTCGTCTATTAAGCTGTATTGACATAAGTAGGCATGTGGTTTTATATACCACTTGAATTTCTGAGTTTCTGTTTTCTCATCTGGAAAATCTCACTTTAACTGACTGTTAGTTTATCTCTAAAGTTCCTTCTAGTACACATGATTCCATTATTAATTGAGACAAAGAGTAAAATTATACATCTTTGCTGTAGTCTTATATCTTAGTAATTCCCTATTTTTGAGGAATGTAACAGTGTCTTGCACTTTTTAACATCATGATATGCACAGAAAATGATAAAAAAGAGAATTTGGGAATATTATTAAGAACTTAGAAATTAAAATGTTTCATTTTTTCCTATTATATAATTATAGTAATGAAAATAAACTATAGTGAATTTAAGTCTAAATATTAATTTTATGAAATGTTTTATTTATAAAAATTATATAAAACTTTCTTTTGAAAAGTTTAATTTTTTTTTATGTTAAGGTGTAGGCCTGAAATATCTACACACAACTTCTTATCAAGACTCAAGAGTCTTTTATTTTATATATATATAGAGAGAGATATTTTATTTTATTTATATTATATATAGAGAGAGAGAGAGACAGAGAGAGCGAGAGAGAGAGAGAGGGTATCAGTCTGTCACTCATGCTCGTTTGCAATGGCATTGTTAAATCAAGTTTAGTCTAGAGCTGCCTCCTCACATATTTTAAGTTTGGCCTAAAGGTTTCTCTGTACATCATGAACTATAGTCTAAATGGAAGTGTAAACAGACTATAATCTACTCTTGTGCCAATCACTGAGTTTTGGCTAATCGGATGTGGCCAACTGTTCCAACTGTGTTCAAGTAAGGCAAACATGGAGCTATAACCAATCTGGCTGTTTCTGTACCCCACTTCCATTTTCAGTATGTCACTCTCCTTTTTCTGTTCACAAATCTTTCACCACATGGCTGTGCTGGAGTCCCTGAGCCTACTCTGGCTTGGGAAGTTGCCCAATTCACAAATTGTTCTTTGCTCAATTAAACTCCTTTAAATTTAACTCAGCTGAAGTTTTTCTTTCTACAGTGTGATTACAGCTCACTGCAGCCTTGAACTCCAAGGCTCAAGCAATCTTCCTGTCCCAGCCTCTCGAGTGGTTAGGACTACAGGCATGCACCACCATGCCCAACTAATTAAAAAAAAAAAAAGAAAAGAAAAGAAAAAGAAAAGGAAAAAGTCTGTAGAAATGGGATCTTGCTGTGTTGCCCAGGTTGGTCCCAATCTCTTGAATTCAAGCAATCCTCTCACCTTAGCCTCCCAAAATGTTGGGATTATAGGCATGAATCAAGATGCCTGGCTGATGATTTCATTACTGTCTTGAGAGATTAGAACTTTATTCACACTCAATAGTGACAAAATTGATTTTCCAACCACTCCAAAGGTATACATTCATATTTTAAATGAACTAGCTCTTCATTTTCTTTTATTGAGAAATACAGTGTTTAAATAAATGTGGTTTCTAATAATACAAATGAAGTTCAACTGTTTTCAAACAAATTATTTCCAAATAATATACTTTATTTTGTAATACAGATATAGTTTTTTTCTTAAAGCTACCTGAGTTGTTGAACACCAATAAAAGAATACATCAGTTGCAATGGACAAAATATCTGATATGTGTGAAAACAGAAATTTGTGGCTATTGCCTGGAAATCTGTTTTTTTATTTTAATTCTTTTTTATTTTATTATTATTTTTCTGAGACGGAGTTTCCCTCTGTCGCCCAGGCTGGAGTGCAGTGGCGCGATCTCAACTCAGTGCAACCTCCTCCTCCCAGGTTCACGCCATTCTCCTGCCTCAGCCTCCCGAGTATCTGGGACTACAGGCGCCCGCCACAACGCACGGCTAATTTTTTGTATGTTTTAGTAGAGACGGGGTTTCACCATGTTAGATAGGATGGTCTCAATCTCCTGATCCACTCACCTTGGCCTCCCAAAGTGCTGGGATTACAGGCGTGAGCTGCCGCGCCCGGCCTGGAAATCTGTTTTCTAGACTTTCCTTACACACACACACACACACACACACACACACATTTAGCTATGTGTCATTCTCTTTAGGCATCAGAATGACTCAATCCTCTGGCTGCTTCTTGAGCTCTAGCTTCTTGAGAGCTAGCCTTTGAGATGGTCCTCCAGTGATCCTCCTGTAGTCACACCCTTATTTAATCCCACCCATTGAGGGGGGGGTGGACTTAGTGATTGGATTTTAATGAGTGGAATAAAGCAGAAAGAGTTCTATGTGACTCAGTGACCAGGTCAGACAAGGCAGCGTGGCATCACTTTCTTTCATGTGCACACTCCCTCATAGCACTTGTTCAGAAGATAGCAGTGTCTATATAAGGAGAAATTGACAACTTCTTGCCTGCAGCTAGGTGATTTTTCCAGCCCTGGCTATCCCCTTGACTGCAACTTCCTGGGATACCTTAAACCAGAACAGCTCAACTAAGTTCTTCTTGTATTCTTGACACTCAGAGCCTATGTCAGATAATAAATGTTTGCTATATTAAGCCACTACATTTTGAGGAACTTTAATATGAAGCAGTAGATAACTAATATAGGCTCCTTCTTCACAATAGACAGCAGCATGTGTATTAACACTGTCTAGGTATTAAAAAAAATCTCTTTACTCTCATCATGCTAGGCCAGAGTAGGGGTGATCAGATGCATTGCCTCATGCTCGTCAGCTAGGGCTAAGGAGCATGCTATTCCAAGCATCTTTGCACAAGCTGTACTCTAAGAAGCCTCAGACATGGCCAGCTGTGGCTAGAAACAACCAGACTTGAGCCTCAAGTCACCTTATGCACCATCTGGACATTCTGAAGACTCGAGAGCCAATAGCATATAATTTGGAAAGCAATAAACAAAGATACACTTTTTACTGAGAATATATCTCTGTGTATACAAACCCCAGAATGTGTTATAGAAAGACCAGACTCTCCCTAAAGCAATGGTCCTTCAGCTTATAGTTTTACAACCACCTTGGAGAACCTATAAAATATTAGATTTATTCTAAGAAAAAATCCACATGGGGACATATATATAAACATATGTTATTTGAAGGAGCTCGAATAACTATTAGAATCTACCCACAGACTATATACATACTAGAGGTTAAAATTGTAGGCCATACATTAATTTGGAAAGAAATATATATTATACTGCTATACACAACTAAAGTTTCCCTGTGGATACCAATTCTTCTTGGCATGGTTACTCAAAGTTAAGGACTACTTTTTAAAAAAAATTATGGTAAACAAGAATTTATTGGCTCACAGTTCTGGAGGCTGGGAAGTCTGGGACTATGGCACAAGCACCTGGTGAAGGCCTTTTTGCTACATCCTCACAGAGTGGAAGGCAGATAAGTGTGAGCCATCGTGACCTAAACACCTCCCATTAGGCTCCACCTTTCAAAACTGTCACATTGGGAATTAAGTATAAAGGCTGCAGTTAAGAACTATTTTCAGTTTACTTTCACGTGGGAAGCAAAAGAAATTATTCAAACTGACTTTTTGATTGAAACAAAAACATAAGATTTACAAGGTGAACTGTTTTATGAGATCATGCAAAAATAAAAGTCATATACATACATTGAAAGATAATTACAGCCATAAGATATTTCAGGTTATTAAGAATTCATATTGACAACTAATTTAATAATATTATTTTAATAAACAAACTTCTTGGGCTATTTATATTTTTAATCAATCAATATCTACAAGTACATGAATTTTAAAATGATGTTGAGTATTAGAAAAGCATAATATTTTATTTTTCAATGAATGAATTTATTCTCTACAATAATAAAGATTTTGTTGAAAAAATACGGCATACATATGTATTAATTAAAATGAGGTGTACCTGCATGTCGGTATTTAATTTTCTGTTTGCCTCTAGAAATCATGAGTTTTTGTCTGCTTTTTGTTTGTTTTGTTTTGCACTAGTAAACTATACTTGACCTATTAGTATTGTAAGATTTGATTACATAAACATTATAAATACAAGATTATTATTAAAAAACATATTTGTGTGATAATGATATATAAACCAATTAAATTTACTTGATAATCTGGCATTATCATGTTGTGGCTCAAAGGTTAGTCAGAGTCTTCTCTCAGCATCAGAGAGAATGATGTAGGGAAGAATTTGATATTCAACAAAATACAGCAGAAGTTGATGCAAGCAGTAGATACTCTAGTTGAGGCATAGCGTTATCATGGCCAGGCTAATCCAGTCACAGGTCAATCTTTATTCTGTAGCACTATTCAGAATTAAAATAGACACTAGAGCTGAGATGAAGGCATTCTGGATATGCATTTACCAGTAACAGTGATACCATCTTTCCATGTAAATTTGGGTTAAATGTTAAGGTCACACAGTAACACCAGAGAGAGTAAGGCAGGACAGCTGTGCTTCAGGTGAGGTTCACTGTAGGGCTACTTGGAGAAGAAACAGAGAAAAATTAGGAATCAGGAGCATAAAAAACAATATCTATTCCTATATGAATCTTTGATATAGAGACAACAGAACACACCTCAGTCCTTACTGCGAACCACTCTGTTTCAGTCTTGATTAGAAACAATAGGAAAGCAAGGCAGGAGACTAGAAATCATGCCTCAACTGAGGGATCCCAAATTACGGAGACTCATCTGATCAAAGCCCTACTGAGAGCAAGGGTCATAAAGCTGTTGATTGGAATTTCTGCATCTATAAAAATTGCCTCAGAAACTGATAGGAAGCATGAATTGACCCAGCTATACAGGATGGGGCACTAAAGAGCTGAGAACTGGAAGGGAAGTTTGAGAGGAATGATTCAGAGGGAGACAGGTTCTTTTTCATTTTAAATATGAAACTCTAACATTCTCCAATGAAGATCCTTTACATATACTCTATGATATATTTAAGTACAATAATATATCATTCCTAGGTGAATTGACATATTTAGCAGAAGAATGGCTTTTCAATGCATTTTATTAGATGATAAAATATTGTATTGACACTAGAGTAAGGTTCTGGTCTCATAAAACATTAATTAGTAACACTAATGGAGTTCTGCAAGCATTGCCCTAAGCATCTGTAGAATCTCCACTCATATGTTAATAATCATCTGGCCAGGCGTCCTGGCTCATGCCTGTAATCCCAGCACTTTGGGAGGCCTAGGCTGGTGGATCATCTGAGGTCGAAAGTTTGAGACCAACCTGACCAACATGGAGAAACACCATTCTACTAAAAATACAAAATTAGCCGGGCGTGGTGGTGCATGTCTGTAATTCCAGCTACTCAGGAAGGCTGTGGCAGGAGACTCGCCTGAATCTGGGAGGCAGAGGTTGCAGTGAGCCGAGATCGCTCCATTGTACTCCAGCCTGGGCAACAAGAGCGATTAAAAAAACAAATTATCATTTTGGCAACATAAAATACCTTGAGCCAATAAATATGAGGACACTAAGCAAGCATAGTAAGCCTCTGCATATTATATATTTCCCAGGGATGAGGAAGGGAGAGATTAAATACAGTGTCTTCAAAACTTATTTTTAACACCTTTCATGCACATCTCAAAGGGCTAATGTTCTAATGTTCCATGATATTTATTTGGTAAATATCATAGGTAAACATCATGACTACAATTTTTCATGTATTTTGATTAATTAGTCCATTATGCTAATCAGAAAACTGGAATGGTGATAGAGAGGGAGATTGGCAGAATTATCTGCCTAGTTGGCTTGATAAAAACAGCTAAATCTCTTCTATTTTCACATTGGCTGTTTACACAATAGTCATATAAATATTTCCACTTACCAGATATATATTTAGAGTATTAAATGTGTCCTCTGTGAATGTGACAGATCTTCTAAACTGATAACTTTATCGATAAATGTGAAATTATTGTACTTCATCAACTAACTGATGACAAATTTTAGAATCACTGCTAAGTAGACCACTTTACTTGGCTATTTGGTTTTGAAGGGAGCAATCTTCTGTCACTAATCTTAAAGACAATCATCTCTCTGAGTATGTAATGTCAAGGCGAAGAGTATAGAAATACAAAATGATGAGAACTGTATGATATAACATATAATTATCTCTACAACTCATGTATATCATATATTATTATGTATAATATATTCTACAATATATTAATATATTTGATGTATAAAATATATACTTTGGACATTATATAGTAGTCAGTTTTAGAGTCCTAAAGGTAAACATTTTCAAGGTCACAGTAGGAAGTAGTTTGAAATACAGAATCTAATCTTTTAGACAATCAATTTTCAGCATTTCCACTTCATCATGACGCTTTTGACATTTGTATAAATGTATTGCCTATTCTGTATAATTTTTGTGAATCTGTAATTGTGTAACCAAGCACTCGTTTACATTTTAAAGGCACTCAATGTTGATGTGGCTAACACATGTTATTTGTAATTTTTCAGGGATAGTCCACTTAACGGGATGTCCAAAAAGTCCTATAGTTAATTCCCTTGGGTGTCGATTTCATAGTTTGGTAATTTTTCTTGCCCCTGTATTTAGATAACCCTAAAATACAACTTCTTCTATATAACATAAATATAATTGTTAAGAATGTTACCACATAACTGACAGCATATTTTATAAATAGCATTATATTGGATTGATATATTGTTAACATGTTTTGTTTACTAGGAACACAAGAGAAATTGAATAGATATATTCAATTCAAATTTGCTGAATGTACATATTTTGTAATTCTTACTTCATATAATTTGTACATATTGATTAAAACTTGGTAATAAAAGCAAGAAATCTGGCATAAGATGCATGTATGCCCTTTGCCACCTTGCTACCTTAATCTATTATTTATATTAGTCACTTATTGATGATCCAGTTTCTGTGATAGCAGAGTTGAGAGACTGGATACAGAATAAGGATTACTTCTGGAACAAAATTCCAGAAAATGTAGAGAGTTAAAATCAAGATCACAGGTATAGAAGTTTTATTTGGCTGGAATATGTGTCTTCTTTAGAGACAAGAGAGAGTATGGATATATAAATTTATATATTTTTCCTAGTGGGGTTACTTAATAATCTTGATTATGTTTATGAAGTGAATTTACTAAGATTGGGGCTGTAGAAATGAATAAAGAGGCAGTGTTTTGAAACTACAAAATATGCAGTGCCCATCTGTCAGTGAATGATTACCATTAGTATGATCATTAAAATAAACATTTTTCATTTTCTGTAAGTACTTACATAGTATGCCTTTGTGAACTGAAAATAACAAGTCCCTAATCCTCATACTACACAATTTTTAACTAAGAAAAAGGATGGAATTAAGCTGAACAAGAATCTCATTTCAACCTTAAGTTGCTTAAGTATTAAGAAAGCATTTAGGACAAAGAACAACAGTAAAAAAAAATCCCTTGAATAACAAGATGTACAAATAAAAATTAACAAGCGTGAGGTTGCAAATATTGGGTAACAGTATCTTAGACTAATTGTCATACATAGTTTCACTCGGGTAACAGGGAGTTTGGGCATGACCTTACGTGATTAAGAAGGTGCTGATATTTACCTAAACCGTAAAATAATAAGGCCATGCCGAAAATCTTGAAGACAATACAGAAGACATGTAGTCATTTTACTTGTAATAAAGGGTGGTATCTGAGCTAAGGGTGATTAACAAGTCAATACGACTCTTGCCGTAAATAAGCTCTGTGAGAGAAATGACCTGACCTTCTCAACTAGCATATCTCAGTCCGTAGTGCAAAGGGTGTGACACCTGGTAGGCCTTAACAAATATTGGCCTCATAAATATATAAATATTATTTTCCCTATGCTTATTTTATATTTATTATTTTAAAAGTTTTAAATCTATCGATTCTTAATTTTTGTTTTGTTACTGAACAGATATGTTTGCTCACTGATTGATTTTATAAGCTTTCAGGAAAGGGGCCCATGCAGAACATCAGGATTTCACCTCATTGCTTTCTGTTTTTGTTAGTGAGTACAGCCATCTGGGGCACTGGCATTTTTGGCTCTGCTGCTCCAACAGATGCATGTATGGAATACAGTTCTGGGAAGTAGTACATAAGGCAACACTGACTGGATCCTGAATTGGGATTTCCTTGTAGGGTAGCTATAGGAATGGCAGCACTTCAAGGAGTGATGAAGTAAACATGGCAGTATCCATTTATCTGCCATTTATGCTGCCAGACTATGTGTCTGGAGGGTAGATACCTGCTGTCAGAATATGGGTTGACTCCAAAACAATTGAAAGGTTTTACTAGTTTAATCAAAGGCTCAGGAAATTTGTGAAATATGTAAAGTGAAGGGATCCTTCATATCATTACCTTAAGCAGGACTTAAAGAATAAGCTTCATCTATCATTAACCCTTTACTACTGTCAAGAATTCTCTATTATTGAAGCTTTGCCATTAGAATTTAGAGGTTCAGGTGCAAAATTATTGTAAAAGAAGGAAAAGTAGTTTGAATATTCTATAACAATATTTGTGTCCCTTTCTACATTTTAATGTGAACATTTTTTACTGTCATGTTATTGTCAACTCATTTGTATTCATTGTAATAGCACTAATCATAATGAATTCATTTGAAATTAATGTGGTCATCACACATACTTTTATAATCATTCTACTGTAATTCACTGTTAATTTATGTTTTATTCAAATAAAGCAAAATTGTTTAAAGTCATATAATAAAGTCATTGTGTGGATAGATAAAGATTATAACAGTATAGATTTTCTCTAGAAAAAATGTGATAATCTCAGAAAAAAAATATTTTTTTTTAGCTTCTATAAACAGACTAATGGCTATGATCATAGGCTACTAACAGTTTTCTCAATGATATGCAAGGCTCTCCACTGGGATTTGGCTCATTTATCCAGCAGAAGAATGGCATCAGGTTAAAATACAGGCTCATGGTGAAATATCTGTTAGTTACACATGGCCTTCTGATCTTATTTAATAGGTGTGTATTACCTGAATTCACTGGTTATTAGCATTTACCACAATCCAAATGATCAAAGTGCTTAAAATTTTATTTAAGCAAAAGAAAAGAACAACTATAGAAACAATTACTGTCTTGAAGTGAAGTGAATAATTTTTATCTAATGAAATATATATATCAATATCTATATTTATGTGTGTATGTATATAGAGAGTGGACAGAAATAATTAGAAGAGCAAACTGTTTATTTAGAGGAAAGGAAGATAGTAAGTGTGATAAGTAAAAATAAAATGGCTTAAGTTAATAAATTTAGGAAATAGTATATCGATGTATACGTTGGGATAAAGACAGAGATAGATTAGATAAGAATCCAGCTTACATGCAGAATATTTTGCATTCTGTTAGCTATGTGAGTGGGATACCTACAAAGAAGATAGAGTTTGGAGAGATCAAGTTAATTTTCCCATAAAAACTGAATAACACATGAATCACTTAAAATTATTCAGGTGCCAGAGCACTCACATTATGATAATGCTAGTATGGTGACAAAAAAATCACATGTAAATGAAAAAAAGTGTTTAGAAGCACTGTTTCCTCTCTATGTCTATCAAGTAGCAGAACCCCTGATGGGAATGAGTGAAGCTTTGTGCAACCAAGAATGAAATGCAAAACGAGGCACTCCAAAGGTTTGGGAGGTACAGCACATCCCTACTGCTTTTCCCAGTGTTTTATTCACATCCAGTGCCAATAAATCAGTAATTTGCATATCCATATGGTCTCACACATTCTACCCAGTAACAATGTAATATAAGAATTTGAATTTGACTATGGCAAAATGTTGAGAAAGTAAGCTTATGAGAATGTGTTATAGCAGTGTAAAAATTAAAAGTTAGTATAAAATAAGTCTACAAAATTCACAAAGTTTAACATGAAACTAAATAGATGATCATATTAAATTCCATAAATAAATTTAAGGCTAACTAACTAATAATCCAATAAATTCCCTGCTTCAACTTTTTTATGAAGAGCCTCTAATGGTAGAAAGTGGGATATTTGAAGGCATGCAGCCAAAAACATTTGTTAAAATGCACAGAATATAATTGAAGGATCTAAAATTCATACAAATCTTGTCTCCATTATACATATCCATGTTAATTTTAAATTAGACTCTGGGGAAAAATTTTCTAGTCGCTGTTGGTTAAAATTCTGATAAATGTACTTTCTTACTGAAAATTCAACCCACATAGCTGGGATGATATGGTAAATCTTAAGAGCTTTTACTATCCTGAAATGGTCAGCAAATCTTTTTTTAATGAAGATTGTGGTCACATAGTCATAATATTACTAAATTATACCACTGCAAATTTTAACCAAAATAACTGTAATAGTATTTTAAATGAAAAATATTATTCATTTCTCAAACTCTCTTTTGACTTAATATATTTAAGTACCATGAAAACAATAATAATCTTGTCTTGAAGTTGTGACAGGTGAGTGATTAAAAATACCTGCTACATGAACTAAATTATAAACTACAGTATTTTTTATATCATTACAGAAAACTGTGAATTCACATCCATTACCATGTTTGGAACCTTTAAGATGGTGTTTTTCATTTCTCCGTGAAAATGTTAAAGCTCAATCTTCAGCTTGAAGTCTTAGCCAAAACACTATCCCCATGCCCAGCGAAAAAAGGCTATGACTGGGGAGAGATGGAAACTTTTCAAGTTACATTTCACTGCACACAAAATTTGTATTTATAATATAAGTATTAAAATTTGAAAATCCACATTTCTTTTCTAATTTACTGTGTTTATCTCATAGTCAATACATGGTAAACAGTAACAATGCTAGCATACCATTTGGAACGATGCAGGAGCCAACAGTGCCTTCTGTGATTATTGCTTACATGCAAGCTACCTACTGCTCTGCCTAACATGGATTGACCCATGTCAAAGATAAACAAAACTGGACAACAGATAAAACAGTAAAAACACATTTTATTCAGGAATATAGTAGGAATTTTATTCCTATTGTATTTTATTTATTTTATTCAGGAGCACAATAGGAAAGAGAATTCTGAACCAAGTGCAACTTCCCTGAAGCAAGAGGTAGGGGTGTGCTAAGGGAAAGGTGCGGAGGAGGGATGTTAAGTGGGGTTAGTCCATGTGACTAGGTCACTTGGATTTGTTAATTGACAGGTATCTAAGGGAGAAACAAACTTCTCCTATCTTTATGACAGGAGTAGTGGTGCAGATTGAAGCAAGGCCCCCACTCAAGTTAGGCCCTTATCGTCCCACAGCGACTGGGTACCTTAGATACTCCTTCAGGAAGAGGCAAAGCAAAATGATAACCAGGGCAACTGCATATGTCTAGCATGCTGTGCTCTGCGCTGGTCTATACAAAGATGACCTAGAAAGAAGAATGAGATCCACCTTCCAAACAATGAGCTCTGGCACTCTTACACTAGCCTGAAGGAAGCAGCCTATTATCTAATTGTCTTCTCAGAGTGCTCACATTTTCTTATTTGGCACAAAAGTCCATTCTGTGCTATCCCTGTGTCCTAGTGATGACCAATACAATGGATTCAACAAATGCCCAGCAGGTGCTGACAACATGTCATTAGCCTGGCATGCACTCAGAGTGTAAAAGTAGTACAGGATCTGAACATGCCATCAAGTAACTCATACTCTAATTTAAATATTGATATATGTGAAGACAACTATATTATCAGTGTACAGAGGAAAAAAAGGAGAAAATCTGATATTTTGGGCCCTTTAAGTTTTTATAGAAAGTAAATTTTTTTTTCATAACCGGCATGTCCTGTTTACATAATTATTCTTTATTTTTCTTTTCGATGTACTTTTCTTATTATTTTTGCTACAATCATATCTATTTTCTGTTTGGTTTTATAGAACTAAAAATGATATTATAATGGCTACAAGAGCTGATGATTATGAAAACAGTAACTTAACATTTAGATTATTATTAATGTTTACAGTACAAAAATAATTTCATATTTATTATTTCAGCTGAGGCTTACAAGCACTCTGCAATAATGAGTGTAATTACTATTGGCAAATTTATTTATATAAGAATAATTTCTCTTGTTAATATTGACTGATGTAAATAAGGAGTTTGAGAACCTCAGTTCTTTAATATGCAACACTTAGAGCTGATGAACTTTTAAATAATAAGTTAAATAAAATCTGTGTAGTGTTTTCTTATACCAATATAAGCCATGAAGTAACCATGGATGACTAAGCTAGAAGCATAATGTGTGAGAATTTTTTCTTTTAGAGAAACCTTTAGAGAAAAGAAAAATGAGCATGATTTGATTACTATCTTTCCTTATTCTGCTGTCAGTTATACAACATTTTTCTACAGAGTTTAAATGGCACAATTTGTAATTTTAATGAGAAGATTGAAATAAAGCTCTAGGATAATGGTGGTGCATTAAAAAAATCAACATTATATCCTTTAACTCTCTAAACTGACATCTAGTCACAGGCTGATTTATGTTTATGTACAATACAATAATCTGTTTATAGCCCCTGATAAAACTCATTTTGGTAATTTTTTTCTCACTTTCAGGCTCCCAAGCAATGAATTACTCGTACTTGAAAAATAAAAACCATTTGTAGATAGCCTATATAACAGTTACAGTGGAAATTTCATTCAGGAGGGCTGTCAGGAGAACAGCTGACAAGCTTATTTCTCAAAATCTCCACTTTCAAAATAGCTTTCTACACCCTTGTTCACATTTTAAATGGAATTTCTTCTCAGACTCATCTCTGAAAGAGACAAGCACTTACTGAGCTATTACTGTATACTGCACTTAGTCAAAGGCCAAAAGCACTGTGTTCAGCATTTTTGCCTCCACACAAATCATTATTAAATACAAACTTCACTGATGAGTCTTGTCACATATTTAAAATGCATAATTCCAATCTTAACTTGTTCAATTAAACCAGCTACAATTATAAAATTACAACACTATTCTTTAGAGGTTAAACCATTCAAGAAAACAGTGAACCAGAAGGTGTCTGTTGGTTTATTTTAAGGAATTAGTTAATTTTATTTGCCTCATCAGAATGCCAATTAGGAACAGGAGAGGGAATCTAAACTCTGAATGAGAAACATATATATATATATATACACATATATATATATATACATATATATACACACACACACACAGACACACATATATTTGTGTGCATCTCTATATATACAGTACATATACACATATATATGGTGTGTATACATACATAATATTTCCAAAACCAACAGTTGAATTCTCTTTGCAAAACAGGTATGCCCGTATCTAACGCCATTGTTTAACACAAAGACTTCTGGTAAAATTTCTTTCAGGAAAAAATTCACTTCATTTTGATTTAAGCATTGACAACTAACAGTACTGTCATAGACATTTTTTATCCTCACATATCCCAAATAGTTAAACTAATGCTTCTTTGATGTGTACTCTGGCACTTAAATGACATTTGAGCATCTGACTATCCTAGTGGAAACTCAAAAAGCGGCAGTGTTTGCTAACTGATTATTATCTTTTGCCTTCCAACAATAAACACATTGTTATGCCATTGACCCATAGTAAACAAAAATAAAAGTAATAGTTGAAGAAAATAAAATGTAACAACTCCATGTCACTGTGCTATCATAATCATGTCAAAGACAAAAGCATACACATCTCAAATGTGTCCTACAAGATGTTAACGCACATGTCCACCACTGTGCTGGCTAGTACCAGTACCATCTCAAAAGGCATTTGTCATGTTACTGATTCTTCTATGAGACATTTCCTAAATAACAGCAAGGTTGTTAACCTGCATTATTAATCTCTCTGGCTAGGTTAACAATAAACTCTGAAAATAGAATGAAGAAGATATTGTATTAGTTTGTTCTTACACTGCTATAAAGAACTCCCTGAAACTGGGTAATTTGGGAAGAAAAGAGGTTTAATTGACTCACAGTTTGCTAGCTATATAGGAAGCATGGCTGGGAGGCCTTAGGAAACTTACAATCATGGTGGAAGGTGAAGGGGAAGAAAGTACATCTTACCATGGCAGAGCAGGGGAGAGAGTGAAGGGGGAAGAGCTGCACAGTTTTAAACAAGCAGGTACCTTGAGAACTCATTCACTATCATAAGAACAGCAAGGGAGACATTTTCAGCCCCATGATCAAATCACCTCCCACCAGTTCTCTCCCGCAACATTGGGAATTACAATTTGAAATGAGATTTGGATGGGGACACAGAACCAAACCATATCAGATGTTTTCTTCCAAGTATAAAATTTTAAGTGAGATGAAAGCACACAAGATAAAGAAGCACTCCTTTTATTTTTCTCTCAAAATGTTGACCACTTATTATATTTGGTCAAAAGTTTAAGTGTTTATCCCAACAAATACACACATTAGGTAATTACCATATACACAGTTTGCTGGGCTCCAACTACATCTATGAATGTATAGCTGAGCCTCAAAAAGATAGAAAGGACTATTCTCTCCAACTCTATGAAAGATACTACCTAGACAGGGAAGTGTATAGCTTGAGCAGTCTTTAGCAGTCCTGCATTTTCGAATCCTGTGTCAAAGACATTATAAAGTTGGAGATAATCAATGTGCAAAGAGTAATTGTTGTCTAAGGGCTTGCAAATCTGCACAGGTAGATGAAGGGAAAAGCAACTAATGTCCATTTAAAACCTATACTTCACTAGATGTTTCCCTAGCATTATCTTTTTTAATTTGCACAAGTTAAAAGTAAGGAAACTGGGATTCCCACAGGAAATGCAGGTAGTAGATTCTGGATATGAATTCAAAGTTGGGTTTCCTAACTTTAAAATCACACATTGTTGGGGCAGTACTAACAAAATGAAAAGTTGTCCAAGAGGCTAATACAACATGCAGGTTTTAATATGTAATGGTGTGATTCATCCTACTTCATTAGAGTAAATAGTTTGAGAGCAAAGCAGTGGGTGATAGGACATTGGATGTTTGGGGTGACTTGTCTATCTGTTGGTCTTTAAGTACACTTTCTTTCATCATAGACATGTGTGAAAAACACTTATTTTAATTTAAATATACAATTATTAACCCTAGTTGAGACTACTTAAAGTCTCTGGAATCAAGGCCTTAATTTACATTAAAGGGAAATTTACATTACAGAAAAATAAAAAACAAAAAACAAAAAACACTAGTGATTGTCTGAGTAGGGAGAGTTTTACTGTATGTCATTCAAAATATGACATAACCAAGGGATTGACATTATAATGGAGTAAGTGGTGAAAATAATCAGGTCCTAATCGCCCAAAATGCCTTGAAGTGGAGAAGAGACTTGAATTACAGACTCTTGTGTAATCTAGCCATGAGGTCATGTGGGCTTGACTACAATTTGGCTATAAGAATGGAAAATACATTTTGATACTTTGTACTCTCATACACATTGCACTTGCTCTCAGATCCCCAAAGGTAATAGTGATAGGGAAGCTGTAATCAAACACGAAAAATTTATTCCATGACTTGACATCCTTTCCGAATCAATTTTGGTGAACCATTCTAAACTGCAGAGGAGGTGTAAATTTTTTTTCTTTTCTTCTGTGAGCAATTATACTGTAATAACCAGTCCCTTTCCTGTTTCCTCACATCTGGAATACTTTCCTTCTTTTTCTTTAGTGTTTAGCTCAGTCCTATTCATTCATTGTCTTTAGTAAGCATCCAACCTGTGTCAGACACTGTGGGTAGAAAAGCAAATAAAATGGAATCCCAGCTTGAGAAAGTATACTGATTAGTACATAAAAAATGCTATTTTAAAATCAGCAGTGTCATTAAATGCTATGATAGAAATTCAGATAAAGTAAAGTGAAAAGTCTAAGGAGGAAGCCCTTAATTCTGTAAGTGCAGCCTCAAAAAGCATCAATCACAGAGGACATATGCTGTTGCTAAACATTGAAATTTGAGAGGTGCTTTATGTAAAAATAGGAATGTTGGGATATTCTTGCCTAATAGAATAGTGTGAAAAATCCCAAGGCTATACAACGAATGATTCAAAAATTGAGAAGACATGTTTTAAGACCAGGGCATGACTTGCATTGGGCATCGAGGGTGGTAGAGGTAGAGATAAAATGTGTAGCAAGCATAAACAAAAGGAAAGGGAATTTGGAGAAAACAGACCTTATTTCAGTGAACAGTTTGAGAACCCAGGAGATCTAGCCTGGGGTGTAAAATGAAGGCATCTGCCAAAGAACAAAGGGAGGGTTCAGGTTCTATGGCAAATGTTCCTGGCCAGGTTCTCAATCAGGTCTGTTATGCAAATGAAGGATTCAAACTTGCTTAGTTCCAAGTGGTTGATATGTTGGAGCCCAGGTTGGTGAAAGCAGGTGAAGTCTGATTGATTGGTTTGGGTGAGCTCTAATTGGTTAGTTCAGGTGACCTCTGAAAATCTCAAAGTTGAATGGAGGTGTTTGTTTTCAGGGAACTTAGAGCTTACGTGACCTCTATTCAGGAAATGGCTGCTTAGCTCTATTTTAAATTTAGGTATATTTAGCCACTTGGGATCCATCTTGAAAGATTGGCTCGTTCAAGCTCACATTTGTTCACACAAGATATATACTTAAAGGGATAAGTACACATATGAGTTGCTGAATTATGTAGTGTACTAAAGAATTGGTACTTAATCCGAGAGAAATGGGGAGCAAGGATAGAATTTATGAGTAGATTTTGGTGTTGAGGCAGTTAGGACACTTACAATATTCGAAATGATGACAAACATGCACTGCCAGTAGCAGTAAATATATTGAGAAGGAGTATCTTCAAAATCTTTCTTTGCTGAAGTGATTATTCAGTTTACAATGATATTTGCCTTAGATTTTAAGAGGCCACTCTCTAATTTTTTGTCATTTATCTCTTATGAATCTCTTCTCAACTGAATTTTTAGGGAATAAAACTTGACCAATTTATTTATTTTTCTATTTTTCATCATATATTACTTTTTTATTCAGCATGTGAAGAAATGTCAATATTAAATTTACTAGTCCAGTCTCTTTTAATTATCACCCTTCACAAGGACATATTTTGTGGTATCTTATCTTGAAAAAAATACAAATCAAATAAAATGTAAGTTTAAATCAAAATGTCTATTGTTTTACTTCACTCTGAGTTAACAATTAAATAAGATCAACAGTGAACAACAATGAGTTGTTGAGGTGGTAGCTTGACTACCCCCAGTGGTTGATATTATAAAAATCATAACCCTTCTAACCTGTTAGAACTCAGACAGAGGGCCAAGGTCAATGAAACGTGTCTCCACTGGGCTTCTCTTACATTTACTTAATACATGTCATTAAGGAATCTTTGAAATTCCTTAAAGGATTTGGTTAGACATATTTATTCTGATAAGAAGTAAACAAATACATCCAATAATTATTTTTACCTTCCAGGTAAACATTAAATATTTGTTGAATGAATTTTAGCAAGTTAGTTGCTTTTAAAAATTATCATGGAATAGAAAATAAAAAATAATGTTGGTATTCTAGAGAAGTAATATTCCCTTGATGTTATAATTTATTTTCTGTGGAGTTTAATAGTGATCACTAACTTTCTATCTGTTGATAAGAGTATTTCTTTTACATTTATTTTTGAGCATTTGGTTCATTTTATAGCTAATTTTGCATAATTGCATTAACATCTACAGTTTTGAAACTGAATCAATTTACAACTAATTGTTAAAACTCTCAATTCTCCTTTAGGATAATAAAAGGAATTTTACTGTGACATAAAGTTATTTAATAAGCTAATAAATGTGAGAAAGAGAGCAAGGTATAGGAACCATATTTCTTGAAAATTCTTTGTTATATATAATGATCCTGTATAATTACCACTTGGTGTAATTAATATTGTTTTGCATGCATTTATCTTTTCAACAGAAAGAGGCTATTATTCTCTTACTAGAATGTGTTTTCTGCCTATGGCAGTCAATCAAAGAAAGATTTAAGGAAAAATACTTATAGAAACCATACTTTACATTGTGATTATTTGCATTTATATGCAGTTTAAAACAATTTTTAAGTATTTTTGCATTACTCACATATATTGACAGTAGCAGAGCAAATATATTAGGTATATTTTGAAGAGAAAACTTTGACTTATGGATTGCACACCATTCAGAACGTATCAAATACTGAATCTCTCTAAAATCCTCATTTTGAAGATATGAATATAGAATATATTTTCAGAGACTAAACCGTATTATGCTCTGATTAATGTGAAACATCTAAGAAGTATCTAGAAAAGTGAAGTAACTTTCTGTTACTAAATTGTGGGATGATTATTTTATTTTACCATCCTTCACATCTTTGCCTTGCATTTTCTTGTACAATAGCCTCTAGGCTGAGATTTATTCTATTATTTCAGTAAAACAAACAACACAACAGAGCATCAGGATAAAAATAAAAGATCACCAATTATTTTTGGAAGAAATCTTTTTATTTTTATCTAGTTCTTCAGGTAATATCACCAAAATTTTGAAATTATATGATTCTCTTATCATGTATGTATTAAACCACCTAAGGAAATGTACAGATGTTCATGTGTCACCCTTTGCTTTCACACCGATTTAATTTTTCATATTCCTATATACAGGTGTGCTGTTCAGCTTGTTAGTTTGGTGATTACCCCAATAATTTTGTAAGCTGTGCTTCATCTCAGATTCAGGTAGATAGTAATTGAGTTAAATAAATCTGTTAAAACATTACTATATCAAATTGTTTAAGGTTATTTTATTATATAGCACTTGGTAATTTTATTTTATGGAAATATTTCCATAAAACTTTCAAAAAATCAAGTATACAATTTCTCTAGCTCATGCCTTTGCTGCATGTGTTCGTTGTCTGTCTATATTGATTGAGCTGTGTAATGCGTAATTGTGCACATAATCCCCACATATTTCCAGTCTCACCCAAAGATATACTCAGTTCCATGTAAAAAAGCCATACCTTCACCTAGTACTTGATGTTCCATCTTACATATAGATCACTAATTAATTTGTTGAAATAAAACACATCTCAGATCATTTTGTTATACCATCACTACGCACTTTGTTGTTTTTACTATATACTCAGTACTTTCTTCAGTTCTAGTCCATCAAAAGAAGCTGTAAAGACATTGGATGTGAGTTTGAATAGTTATGTATTACTAAATTACTGTTTTGAGACTGGATTTAATGAAATTTATGTGTTGTTTCAGGAAAAATATTGAGTGTGTAAATAAAATATATGGAATTATTTATTTGACTATTTTCTGAGTCATGTTAGAAGTCTATGGAAAGATTAAATTATAGATATTTTAATTTTCATCTATTGCTTTCTGTATATTTCAGCACTTTCAGGATGATATGCGTGTGAAATGAATAATTCAATTCCTATTTCATCCTTTTCCGTCAACTTGGAATATAGTTTTGGCCAATTAATAAACATTAAAAGATAAAAAAAAACACAGCTACATTCTTATCCTTAATACATGTTTCTTCTCACTGGAAAAACAAACAAATAAGTCAAGCTAAATTTCAGTCTTGGCTCATGAATAAATTCATGCTCATTCAATTAGGTCAGGAAACAATATGAGGCAGGGTGAGTTGTTGCCTCTCGCCTGTAATCTCGGTACCTTGGGAGGCTCAAAAGGGAGGATCATTTGAGGGCAGTAGTTGAAGACCATTTGGGGCAACATAGTGAGACCCTCTCTTTACACACACCCACAAGTATTTGGGTACGGTGTTGTGGGCTTTTAGTCCCAGTTACTCGGGAAGCTGAGGTGGGAGGATCACTTGAGCTCATGAGTTTGAGGTTATAGTGAGCTATGATCACAGCACTGCACTCCAGCTTGGATGAAAGCATGAGAACTTGTCTCCAAAAAAATAAAATGAAATAAAAAGAAAGTGAGATGATTAAGATAGGATGCATACACATTTTAGGAATGTGCTAAAGAAAATAAAATTAGAGCATTTTAAATATATGTTTGAATAATGTTTTCTTTTTTTCCTCAGACTTTGAGACAATTAAATTGAAACGCTTCTAAATAGACACATAATGCATTCTATGATTCAAGACAAAAACTTTCAAATCCATCTTTTCTGTTTGGAAATAGCTGTCCTCCTAACTAATGCTCAGAATAGACATGTCATGTTTTTCCAAGCACTTCCTTATGTTGGCCAATTTATTTGCTGCTGAAGAAGTACACATATGACAGAAATGGGAACATGTAAGGGCATTTGGAGTTCAGAAAATATCAAAGAACTCAAAAATGTACTTTCTCTTTTTATTTAATTTTGACAGCTGTCCTCATTTCAAAGTAAGTTGTATCTATATATCTCTGTTTCAGTGCTATTGCTATCACAAATATTATTTGGCAAGGGTTTTCTTATCCATACAATTTTTCTGAATATGCTTATGTGGCTCTCAAAAGTTTTATATGAATCAGAAAATTGTTGTTTCCATGGATTGATAAGCTAAAAATAAAAAAAAACTGTCATATAAGATAAATTTGCATACCACAAGTTTGCTTCTAGTGAGACAAGTTTGTTCAGTGAAAGCAAAAATAAGTGCTGACCACAGCTAACTTTCAGTTCAGGAAGTCACCTTTGGATTCAAACATGTTTATAATATTTATGCAAACATAAGGATTTTTAAAAGTTTTAGCCTAAGAGACTAATCTCTCAAATGTAGGTTTGTTAATTTTACTCCTGCTCTTTTATAAGTAGGTGTCTATCTTTCAATTTGGAAATAATATCCAGTATTGACGGTCATTTTATTTTTGAATTTTCAGCATAAGCTAAAATCCATATTTTACAATGATTTAAAATAGATTAGGAGCATTTTAGTAGATATTCACAGATTATTTTAAATAATATTTTAAATTATTTGTAAACAATGTTCATTAGTAAATAATGTCTTCTTCAAAAAAACATTACTATTACCTATATTTAAGCAATTTGTGTATGTATGTGTATGTGTGTGTGTATGTGTGTGTGTGTGTGTGTGTGTGTGTGTGTGTGTATGAGAAGGGGACTTAAGACACTGCCCAGGATGCCCTAAGATGTTTTCCCCACCACCCCTCCCAGAGAGAGAGGCTCTCACTCTGTTGCCCAGGCTTAAAGTGGGATCATAGCTCACTGCAATCTTGAACTCCTGGGTTCCAGCCATCCTCCTACCTCATGCTCCCCAGTAGCTGGGACTATAGGCTCCTATCACAACACCTGACTCCTAGATGCTCTTAATACTACCCTCAGCTGGGCTAAACTTTAGACGGGCTTCTTTCTAACTCTTGACACTGATCTCACTTTTCTTTGAACATTTACTTTAAAAACAACAACAACAAAAAAGTATAAATTCTTTCTCAGCCATTTCAGTTGTATGTAAACCTATTCGAAAACCTTTTGTCCATTTTACTATACAAGAATGTTTTCCTCAAAGACCTTGGAGTCATCCCTTTAAAAAGCAGTTACAAAAAGATAACAGTTTTATCTCCTAGTTTTCTAGTTGAGTGAAAGCCTAACACCAGTGGGCACTTTGTTCCAAAATTATAAAGCCACCTCCTATCAAAAAGATACAAGAGGCTGGGTGTGGTGGCTCACACCTGTAATCCCAGCATTTTGGGAAGCTGAGGCGGGCAGAGCACCTGAGGTCAACAGTTTGAGACTAGCCTGGCCAACATGGTGAAATGCCATTTCTACTAAAAAAAAAAAAAAAAAAAAAAAAATTAGCTGGGCATGGTGTCAGGTGCCTATAATCCCATCTAGTGGAGAAGCTGAGGCAGGAAAATCACTTGAACCAGGGAGGTAGAGGTTGCAATGAGCCGAGATCGCTCCATTGCACTCCAGCTTGGGCAAAAAGAGTGAAACTCCATCTACCCCCCACCAAAAAAAAGATACAAGAAAGTTTACTATTTTTTAAAAAGGAGACTCTTAATAGGCTGTTAAATAAATTAACTTAATGATGAAATTGAATTAATAATTACTAATCCTCCAAAATAGGAGACACCAGGCCCAGCTGTGTTCACTGATGAATTCTACTAAACACTGAAGGAATAAATTACATCAGTTATTTGAAATCTCTTTCAGAAGACAGCAGCAGAGGAAATAGTCTCTAGCTCATTCTATGAAGCTAGCTTTTCCTTAATATCAAAGCCCGACAAGGATATTAAAATAAACAAAAGCTACATATCACATATGTCTTATAATCATAGATGCAACAAAATCAATAAAATATTAGCAGATAATATCAATGATGTATAAAAATAATTATAAATTTAAATTATGACCAGTGAGATTAATTCCAGGTGTGAAAGTCTAGTTCACCATTTTAAAATCAATGAATTCATTACATCAATAGTCTAAAGAGGAAAATAATATAATCATATCAATAGATGCAGAAAAAGCATTTGAAAAAGTCCAGCATTCATTACTGAAAACTTAGTAACGTAAGAATCATCTTCACTATGATAAAGAATATCTATAGAAAACCTACAGTTTTAATGATTAAAAACTGATGCTTTCTCATAAAGATAATAAACAAGGAAAAGATGTCTTCTCTCACCACTTCTCAACATTGTGGTGGAAATTCTAGCTAATGCAACAAGGCTAAAAAATAAAAACTAAAACATGCAATTATTAAGAAGAAAAAATAAAACTGTCATTGTTCATAAATAACATGATTGTCCAAATAGAAAATCTAAAAAGGATCAATAAAAATCTCCTAGAACTAATAAGTGACTATAACAAAAAGGCCAGGTAGAAGGTTAATATACTACAGCCAATTTATTCCTGTATACTATCAATGAACAAGTAAAGTTTAAAATAAAAAAACACAATACTATTTACATTAGCACACCCAGAAATGAAATAATTAGGCATAAATCTGATAAGAAGTATATGATCTACATAAGGAAAACTACAAAATGCTGTCAAAAGAAATCAAAGAATACCTAAATAAATAAGATATTCCATGTTCATGAATAGGGAGCCTCAATATAGTCAAGATGTCAGTTCTTTCTAATTTGATGTAAAGACTCCACAGAATCCCAATAAAAATGCCAATAAGTTATTTTGTGGATATTGACAAGCTGATTCTAAATTTTATATGGAAAGGCAAAAGACTCAGAATATACAGCACAATATTGAAGGGGCAAAACAAAGTTGAAGGACTGATACTAAGCAATTTCAAGACCTAGTATAGAGCTACAGTAATTAAAACATTGGTATTGGTGAAAGAACAGACAAACCAGTGGAACAGAGAACCTAGAAATAAACTTACATAAGTACAATCAATTGATCTTTTACATAAGAGCAAAAGCAATATGCTGGAAAAAGATAATCTTTTCAATAAATGGTGATGAAACTACTGGAAATTCAAATACAAAAAAAAAAGAAGTTTAGACACAGATCTCACAACCTTCATAAATTTAACTCAAAATGGATCATAGACTTAAATGTTAAATGCAAAACTGTCAAATTTTTGATGATGTCATAGTAGAATATCTAGATGACCTTAAGTTTGCCTATGGTTTATTTGATACAGCATCAACATTACAATATAATTGATAAGCTGGAATTCATCAAAATGAAAAATTTTTGCTCTCCAAAAGACACTGCTCAAGAAAATGAAAAGACAAGCCACAAACTGGGAAAAATATTTGCAAAAGACATATCTGATAAATGACTACCAACCAAAATATACAACTAACTCTTAAATCTCAACAACTAGAAAATGAACAATCAGTTTTTAAAAGGGGCCAAAAACCTTAACAGACACCTTACCCAAGAGGTAACTAAGCATGAGAAAAGATACAACACCTTAAATGTCATCAGGGAAATGCAAATGATAACAACAAGATATCACTACACTCCTATAAGAATGGTCAAAATCCATAACACTGATTACCAAATGCTGATGAGAATATGGAGGAACAGGAACTCTCATTTATTTCTGGTGGGAATGCAATATGTTACACTCACTTTGGAATACAGTCTGAGAGCTTCTTACAAAACTAAACCTACTCTTATAATACAATAGTTACATTCCTTGGTGTTTACCCAAATGAACTTAAAATCCATATAAAAATCTGTACATGGATGTTCCAAGTAGTTTTGTTTATAATTGCCAAAACTTGGAAGCAACTAAAATGTCCTTCAGTAAGTGAATGAATAAACTCTTGTACATCCAGACAATTGAATATTATTCATTGCTAAAGAGAAATGAGCTATCAAGCCATGAGAAGACATGGAGGAAACTTAAGTGAATATTACTAAGTGAACGAGGCCAATATGAAAGGATATATACTATATGATTCCAACTATATTAAGTTGTGGAAAAGGCAAAAGTATAGAGATAGTAAGAAGAGCTATGATTTCCAAGGGTTTAGGGGATTAACGGATGAAAAGGTGAAACAAGGAGGACTTTTATTCTAGCAGGGAAAGTATTCTCTATGATACCATAAAGTAGGTATATGTAATTATACATTTATCAAAATTAATACAATATACAAAGCCAAAAGTGAAGCTTAATGTAATCTATAACATTTGGGTGATTAAAAAATGTAACTAATAAAACTACAATTTTAAGCATTCTGTATCTTCATTGCAGAAAATGTGCAAAATATTCAATTTTAAAAAAGAATATAGTTATTGCATTTGGTAGTCATTTTTAGGTTTAAATTACTCTTATAAGAAACTGTACATTGGAAAATATGGTGGATGTTTAATAATATCATTAAAGAATTAGAAGCATGGATGTGGTTAATCTTTATGTATTAAGAGTTGTATGCTGCAGTGGGCTGAAAGTTAGTCTCAAAATAGATATGCCCATGTTCTAATCTCCAGAACCTGTGAATGGTAAAATAGCAAATGTTAACTTATATAGCAAAACTTATGTGGTAAGTAAATTAAGGATTCTGAGAGGATGAGTTTATCTTGAATTATCCATATGGACCCTAAACCCAATGACAAGTAAGAATGAGGCCAAGGTATGTTTGACAGATTTAAGAGGAGGCCATGTGACCATGGAGGCAGAGATTGGAGTGATGTGTCCCCAAGTCAAGGAATGCTGACAGTCACCATCAAAGGGAGTATGGTTCTGCTGACATCTTGGTTTTAAACTTCTGGCCTCCAGAATTGTAGGGGAAACATTTATGTTGTTTTAAGTCATCCCATTTGTGGTAATTTGTTACAGGAAACAAAACCAATGTAATGCCCTTTTTCTAGAGTAACATAAAAAAATGCCATCTACTTGTTAACACAGTAAATGGCCATGTTATTCCTCTGTGAATCTTTTTAAGTTTAAATAGAGAATAATAATAATTGTGAGTTCATTAGTCTGCTAGGGCTGCCATTACCAAGTACCCAAAACTGGGTGGCTTAAAACAACTGAAGCTTATTTTATCAGAGTTCTGAAGACTAGAAGTGTGGAATCATGGTGTCAGTAGGACCATGCCCTTCCTGAAGGCTCTAGTGTCTGTACTTGGCAAACTTTAGAGTTCCTTGGCTTGTAGATACATCACTCCAGCACACACTTCCACTGTGTTCTCTCTGTTCATATGAGTTTTTGTGTCCAAATTTCCCTTCTTATAAGGACACCAGTTATACTGAATCCAGGACCATTCTAATAGCCTTATCTTAACTTTATATCTGCAAAGTTCCTATTTCCAAATAAGGTCACATTCACAGTTACTAGGAGTTACGACATCAACATATTATTGGGAGAGTCCATTCTCACATTGCTGATAAAGACATATCTGAAACTGGACAATTTACAAAAGACAAAGTTTAATTGGACTTACAGTTCCATGTGGCTGGGGAGACCTCACAATCATGGCAGAAAGTGAAAGGCAAGGAGGCACAAGTTACGTCTTACAGGGATGACGGCAGGAAAAGAGAGAGCCTACACAGGGAAACTCCACTTTTAAAATCATCAGATCTCATGAGACCTACTCACCATCAGGAGAAGAGCACGGGAAAGATCCACCCACATATTCAATCATCACCAGGTCTCTTCCACAACCCACAGGAATCGTGAGAGCCACAAGATGAGATTTGGGTGGGGACACAGAACCAAACCACATTATCCTCATTATTCTGCTCTGGCCCCTTCCAAATGTCATGTCTTCACATTTCAAAGCCAATCATCCCTTCCCAAAGTCCGCCAATGTCTCATTTTAGCATTAACCAAAAAGTC
Organism: Homo sapiens; assembly: GCF_000001405.40. NCBI lineage: Eukaryota > Metazoa > Chordata > Mammalia > Primates > Hominidae > Homo > Homo sapiens. Next base: position 86,109,747 of record NC_000005.10, on the reverse strand, counting down.
CACAGTCCAAAGTCTCACCTGAGGCAAGGCAAGTACCTTCCACCTATGAGCCTCCAAAATCAAAAGCACGTAAGTTACTTCCTAGATACAATGGGGGTACAGGCATTGGGTAAATACAGCCATTTCAAATGGGAGAAATTGGCCAAAATAAAGGGGCTGCAGGCTCCATGCAAGTCCACAATCCAACGGGGCAGTCAAATCTTAAAGCTCCAAAATGATCTCCTTTGATTCCATGTCACACATCCAAGTCACACTGATGTAAGAGGTGGGCCCCCACAGCCTTGGACAGCTCCATCCCTGTGGCTTTGCAAGGTATAGCCCCCATCCTGGCTGCTTTCTCAGGCTGGCATTGAGTGTCTGCAGATTTTCCAGGTGCACCGTGCAAGCTGTGGGAAGATCTACCATTCTGGGGTCTAGAGGATGGTGGCCCTCTTCTCACAGCTGCACCAGGCAGTGCTCCACTAGCCCCAGTAGGGACTCTGTGTGGAGCTCTGACCCCACATTTCCCTTCTGCACTATCCTAGCAGAGGTTCTCCAGGAGGACCCTGCCCCTGCAGCAAACTTCTGCCTGGGAATCCAGGCATTTCCATATATCTTCTGAAATCTAGGTGGAGATTCCAAATCCCCATTTCTTGACTTCTGTGCACTCTCAGGCTCAACACCACGTGGAAGCTGCCAAGGCTTGGGGCTTGCACCCTCTGATGCCATGGCCCAGGCTCTACATTGGCCCCTTTCAGCCACAGCTGGAGCAGCCGACATGCAGGGTACCAAGTCCCCAGGCTGCACACAGCACAGGGACCCTGGGCCTGGCCCGTGAAACCGCTTTTTATTCCTATGCCTCCAGGCCTGTAATGGAAGGAGGTACCATGAAGATCTCTGACGTGCCGTGGAGACATTTTCCCCACTGCCTTGGGGATTAACATTTGACTGCTCATGACTTAAGCTAATTTCTGCAGCATACTTCAACTTCTCACCAGAAAAATGGGGTTTTCTTTTCTATCGCATTGTCAGGCTACAAATTTTCTAAACTTTTATGCTCTGCTTCCCTTATAAAAATGAATGCTTTTAACAACACCCAAGTCACCTCTTGAATGCTTTGCTGCTTAGAAATTTCTTCTGCCAGATACCCTAACCTAAATTATCTCTCTGAAGTCCAAAGTTCCACAATTTTCTAGGGCAGGGACAAAATGCTGCCAGTCTTTTTGCTAAAACAGAAGAAGAGTCACCTTTGCTCCAGTTCCCAACAAGTTCCTCATCTCCGTCTGAGATCACCTCAGCCTGGATTTCACTGTTCATATCATTATCCGCATTCTGGTCAAAGCCATTCAACAAGTCTCTAGGGAGTTCCAAACTTTTCCACCTTTTCCTGTCTTCTTCTGACCCCTCCAAACTGTTCCAACCTCTGCCTGTTAGCCAGTTTCAAAGTTGCTTCCACATTTTTGGGTATCTTTTCAGCAGCACTCCACTCTACTGGTACCAATTTACTGAATCAGTCCATTTTCATGCTGCTGATAAAGACTTACCTGAGACTGGGCAATTTACAAAAGAAAGAGGTTTATTGGACTTAAATTCCAGGTGGCTGAGGAGGCCTTACAATCATGACAGAAGGTGAAAGGCAAGGAGGAGCAAGTCTCATCTTACATGGATGGCAGCAGGCAAAGAGAAAGCCTGCACAGGGAAACTCCCATTTTTAAAACCACGAGATCTCACGAAACCCATTCACCATCACAAGAACAGCATGGGAAAGACATACCCCATGAGTCAATAATCTCCCATCAGGTCTCTCCCACAACATGTGGGAATCATGGGAGCCATAAGATGAAATTTGGGTAGGGACAGGGAGCCAAACCACACCAGGGAGAAAAGAATTCAACCTAAAACAGTGCATATTTGCATTTTGCTACAACTTTAAAACAGGAGCATGCCACTTCCCTTCTCAAGAATTTTGTTTTCATGAGAATTGAATATGCTTAGTTTCATACAAATGAAATACCAGATGTACACATAAAGAGAAAAGAGATCAAATTAGTTTTTGGAGAATGATTTTTTCATAAAAAAGATTTCAGGAGATCCTTTAGTTGTATATATTTACATTATAAATGCTTATAACAATGTCCCAGAGAGGTTATGTGGCATGCCTTCAAAGTGACTCCATAGACAAACAATACACACTGAATACTGCTGTAACTAGAGTATTTATATACATTATAAGACTTTGTTATACACTAGCAGCAAATACAATATTGTAGTTATTGCTCAATTGTACAGAGGTGTTTTGAATTACTTAATTCTTTCAAATATAGTGTCCAGCTTTTAACATTTAAAAGTGAATTTCAATCATAAAAGATTGAGAACTACTACACACATTTCTTCAATAATAAAGTGATATTTATCTCTGCATTTTATCAAATTTTGTGTACCAGCTGTGGAACCATAATTTATATTTCAAATTATATTTGTGAATTTGAATATTTTTAAAGCATGTATATAGAAAGAGAATAGTGAATATGGAAACACCCAATATATACATTAAATGTTTGCCTAACACTTTTTCAATAATTTAAAATTTCAAGAAAAAAAACTAATAAAATATAATTCTGGCATAAAAAATCAAAATCATTTATGATATGTTGCAACGTTAATCTTATCCTTTTCTCTCTAAAATCAGATGAAGGAGTGTTTGGCACTTTGGCAGATTATAAATTGACAGGCACAGGGCCTTGGTCTTCGCATTAATTTCACTTATGAGATAGGCCAATAAAGAATGGTTTAAGTGGGATTGCAAGTTCCAGGTTTTCTGAGTTGAAACAGTGCCTGAACAGTTTTTGTAAGTATCCCAAATTATAAAAGTGGTTACTATTTCTTATGAATACTGTATATGTGAAAGCAACCAGCATTAAAACTGACTAGAAATAATCCTTGAACATTTGTTTGCTGTTTGCAAAACCTGAGTATTAACAGAACCCTAAATCCTGAAACCATACAACTACAGAAATTCAGAATAAATTTTAAAATATATTGAGAAATGCAAAAATATAACTCAAGATAGATCTTAGTAAATGTAAAAAGTCCTTAGATGAATTTACACATTTCATTTTTATATCAAATAATTACAGGTGCATTAAGTATTTTGATAAGATGTTCACTGAGGGTTTGGAGCTTTTGGAAAGACTGTATGAAGTAGCTGAGATTTGAATAATGAAAGAAAGAACAACTGCCCAAATTTTAAGGAGATAGTCATGTCTTCAAAGAAGGAAATTAAAGCAAGATATACCATTTCCAAAATAAGCGAACATTGGGGCTCTAAAAAATAATTATTAATCAACTTTAATAAGACTCAGTTTACATGCAATGAAATGCACCCATTTAAGTCTTTATTTTTATCAGTATATAAATATATATAATAAATATAAATATAAATATAAAAATGTAAATATATATATATATATAAAATAAAGCTAGAGCACCAGAAAGTAAACAAGTACTTAAATATAATGCTCACAATTTTTAAGGACGTGCTTTAGAAATAAAACAAGGAAGATTTATAAAATCAAAAGTATGGGGTATCTCAAATGGAGACCAGAGCCAACTTGCAAGAGCTCCTTAAGGATAAATCTAGAACAATTTGAGCAACAAAATAAATAATGTATTATATTATATTCGAACACGTAAATATCCCTAAGTTTATACTTATATACAAATGATTGAATAAATATATGAATAGAGGAAAAGAAAAAACATACTTTTCTAGAAAAATTGCATTTAATATATGTAGGCACTTCCCACCTCCTGGCAATATATATATATATATATATATACACATATATATATATTTGTGTAACCACCACCAAATTAGAATATGAAATATTTCCATCACTGATAAAAGAACTTTAGTGATCTTTTCCATTTAATTTCTCCCTCCCCAGTCCCAGAAAACCACTGCTTTACTTCTCTCAATATAGATTAGATTTGTCATTTCTAGGGTTTCCTATAAATGTAATCATACAGTATGTAGCCTTCTGTTCTGGCTTCATTTGCTTAATATAACGTTTTTGAGATTCATCCACATTGCTGCATTTATTAGCATATCATCAGTCAGCCCACTCTGAAAGGCAAGGAGATAACTAAGATCTGCTAGGAGGTGGGAAGTGCCTACATATATTAAATGCAATTTTTCTGGAAAAGTATGTTTTTTCTTTTCCTCTATTCATATATTTCCTCAATCATTTGTATATAAGTATAAACTTAGGGATACTTACGTGTTGGAATATAACATAATACTACATTATTTATGTTGTTGTTCAAATTGTTCTAGATTTATCCATAAGGAGCTCTATCAGGTTGGCTCCTGTCTCCATTTGACATACCCCATACTTTTGATTTTATAAATCTTCATTCTTTTATTTCTAAAGCATGTCCTTAAAAATTTTGAGCCTAATATTTAAGTACTTGTTTACTTTCTGGTGCTCTAGGTTTATTTTATAATATTTTCCCTGTCACTTTCCTAGTATCAGCCATTTTTTCAAGGCAGCCAAGTTTCTTTTATTGGGCATTGAGTATGTACCTTGCTACAAGGTTTCATTGTTCCTAGGTTCTTTCAGGAGAGAAAGCTAGGTAATACATGTACGTACATTAACATATGTGTACATACATATTTATAATTGTTTCTATATTTATCCATCTAAATATGAATATAGCTAATTATGAATCCACACTGGTATCTCTGATAGTAATTCAGTATCCCACAGGCTTCTAGTCTTTCTTCCTTGCCTATTTATTTATTTATTTTTGAGATGGAGTCTCGCTTTGTCACCCAGGCTGGAGTGCAGTGGTGCAATCTTGGCTCACTGCAACCTCTGCCTCCCAGGTTCAAGTGATTCTCCTGTCTCAACCTCCCAAGTAGCTGGGACTACAGGTGCATGCCGCCACTCCAGGATAATTTATTTTGTATTTTAGTAGAGATGAGGTTTCACCATGTTGCCCAGGCTGTTCTCGAACTGCTGAGCTGAGTCAATCCGCCCTCCTCGGCCTCCCAAAGTGCTAGGATTACAGGCGTGAGCCACCGCACCAGGCCCGCTTGCTTCTTTTTAATTTCCTTCTTTCAGCGAGAGAAGCTTGGCTCTCAGCATCCACTGTCCATAATCGTTCAACCCCAGTATACATGTAAAGCAGTTTCAGAAGTTTATTAACCAATATAATCATGATAAATAGAGTTTCCATTTAGGGTAATGTGTTTATGTACAGTTTCTTTTAGATTTAGTATTAAATCTCCAACCAAAACACCATTTTCCAAAGTTATTTAGGTCAGTGTTTCCCCACTCCTTTTAGTTCTGATATAGCATATATTCATAATACAGTTAGATTCATTTGCCACAGTTTACATTTCTTCCTGGAATCTCCTGAGAGGTTGGTTGCTTTCTTTTAGCATCCACTAAAGTTCACTCTTCATGATTTGCATTTCTATGGATTTTCCCAGTCACAGAAAGTCATGTATTCACTACCCAATATCACATAGAATAATTCCTTTACCATAAAATTTTCCCAGTACATGTCATTTGTAATCAATCACTTTCCCTTTCCTTAATTTCTGGAAATCATTAACCTTTTTCATCTCTATAGTATTGACTTTCCCAGAATGCCACTTAATTTCATTTTCTTGTAGAAATATCACTGACTCTGTTACTGACCTTGTGTCCTGTGACTGTACTATACTTAGTTTCTGTGACTTTTTGGGTAAAATCGTTAGGAATTTTTATGTATGTGATCATTTTGTCTGAGAATAAAAGTTTACATTTTATTCCCAATATGTACTTTAATTTTGTATTCTTGCCTTATTGCACGGATTAGTACATTCAGGAAAATCTTGCATATAAGTGTTGAGTAAGCACATCAGTACCTGAATCCCAAGTCTTAGGGGAAAACATTCAATCTTTTACCACTAAGTGTAATGTTAGTGGTAAGTATTTCATGGATGCTCATCAGTTTGAGAAAGTTCTTTTGTATTCCTAGTTTGCAGAGAGATATATATCATAAATTTTCATTGAATAAGACTACTGTAGCTGGGTGCAGTCACCCCAGTATTTTGGGTGACCAAGGTGGGCGGATCACTTAAGGTCAGGAGTTTGAGATCAGCCTGGCCAACACAGTGAAATCTCGTGACAACTAAAAGTACAAAAATTAGCTGGATGCGGTGGTAAACCCTGTAATCTCAGCTACTTGGGTGGCTGAGGCATGAAAAATGCTTGAAACCAGTAGGTGGAGGTTGTAGTGAACCAAGATTGCCTGGGTGACAGAGAGAGACACTGTCTCAAACAAAGGAAGAAAAAAAAAGACTACTGTGCTAAAGAGAAAAAATAAAGCATGTTTTTGCTTAAATGTCATTTTTAATTGGAGAGGTTTTTTGTGTTTGTGTCCAAAAGTCACATATAAAATGTGCCTTTGTTTCCAGAAGATCAGATTTTATTTTCCAAATACAATCTTTCACTAAAAGAACCAGTGTTCTTTAAGCAAACAATTTATTCCAAGCCTGGGGAAGAAAATACAAAATGAGTACATGGAACATTTTGTCAGGACACAAAGCAGGAAAACTTTCAAAGGTTAATATTATTTTAGCACTAAAGGACTCAGGGGCCAACTTCAAAAGATTTCCACTAGCTAATTTGGAAAAATTGAGCAGCAGTAAGATATCTGAAACATATCACAACACATAAAATATATTTAGTTCATAAGATAATAATGGTAAAAATTGCTGAGTATCTTGGGATATTTACCAGGAAACCAACTTATTTTGAAAACTTGAAAAAGTTAAAAAAAAAAAGACACAAACTACCAACAAAAAATAAGCACTTTTTTGCCTTTCCTCTAGTAATTACATGTGAATAAAATAAAAAAGTTAAAGATGAGAGGTTTCAACTTTCAGAGGTATTGCTGCTGAATGAAGTAGAAAAAAATAGAATTTGGACATTACCACTTTGCAAGTTACTAAAGAATAAAATAATGAATCTAGGCAATGAATATCAATCACTGCTAACACCAAAAAAAGAGAAAAATCATTTAATGTGTATTCTTCTATATCACTTGTAAAGTTATTTTCCAAAAAAAAAAAAAAAAAAACCAAAATATAGTGAAACCTTTACATACAACTACCAGTTTACAGAAAATTTGAGGGAGAGTGGAACTGTAATATAATCACTGTACTGATACAATCAGCAAGATTCAGAATTTAAGAAACTACAGGATAAAACAACTTGTCTCTTTAACAAGCACATTGCAAAAAAATTAAAATAGAAAAAGCAAAATTATTGATTTATAAAAATTGTAAAGAAATATATGTATGTGAAAATCAGGGCTATTTGAACACCAGTGGATGCATGATTTTTGTGACCCCTTCATCAGACTTGCAATAGTGGTGTCATGTTTACTTGGCCTGCCATACTCAACCTCTTACAGGAGGGAGCACGTGAGGTGAGCAAGTGAGGCTGGCCGCACGACGAGGGGCCTGCAGAGGTGTCCAGGTGGGAGTGCCTGTGACCCCAAAGCCCCAGAGGGTGTGTTACAGTGGTCTCTTAGCACTGCCGTCCACAGACAGCAGTGTATTATCAGCTCAGTTGGCCCCCTGCCTTGTCCTGTGGGGAAGTTGCCCTCTGCCTGTGAGGGCAAGGGGCCAGTGTGACAGCCTTTTTTGGGTAACCCCACTTGGTGGGTCCTGAGGTTTTGTTCGGCACCCAAGAAGAATGAGGTTGCACAGACATCTGAATGATGGTGAAGGTGGAGAATCTTATTTAGAGATGGAAATGGCTTAGTGGAGAGGAGAGCTGGAGAGGGGACAGGACAGGCAGGTTGACTTCCCCCGAAGTCCGGCCATCTCTTCCCCAAAGTCTGGCTGTCTCTTCCCTGAAGTCAAGTCACCTCTCTCCAGTCAAGCCACCCCTCTCTTCTCTAATGACTGAATCTGGGTCTTTATAGGCACAGGATGGGGGCAAGCCGTAGGTAGTTTTGGAAAAGGCAACATTTGATTGGCAAAAGGGCATTATTCAGAAATAACCAATTGGGAGAGAGTGGGCAAAGAGGAACAGAAGTTCTCACTTTGGACCGTGTGTTTCAGGCTTTTTGGCTTGAAGGTGGGGTTTCACCAGGGACTCCCCCGTGTCTGCCTGGGATTTATCTGCCTCCTGCTTCTATCAAAATGAGATATCGCACGCTAGTAAACTATTATTGTATTTTTTTCTTTTTGTTGTGATATTGTGATAATATTGTGGTTGTATTTGAAAAGTGAGTCTTAAACTCTTAGAGAATGGCCATGAGTAGATAATTGTTGGTTCATTATACTATTTTTTCCTCTTTGGTAAGAATTCCATTAATAAAAATAAACACTTTGGGAGGCCGAGGTGGGTGGATCACCTGAGGTCAGGAGTTTGAGACCAGCCTGGACAACACGGTGAAACCCCATCTCTACTACAAATACAAAAATTAGCCGGATGTGGTTGTGCATGCCTGTAGTCCCAGCTACTCAGGAGGCTGAAGCAGGAGAATTATTTAAACCTGGGAGGCAGAGGTTGCAGTGAGCTGAGATCATGCTACTGCCCTCCAGCCTGGGTGACAAAGCGAGAGTCCATCTCAAAAAAATAAAAATAAATAAATAAATAAATAAAAATAATATTATATGACATTAGTTTGTGTGTAACATATGTGTGTATACACATACGGATATGTCGATATAATTTTTATATCTCCATATAAAGAGGAAGGAGCTAAAGGAGCTGCACTATGATTCATTCAAGACCTTTACATAGAGGGATTCTCAATGAAGTAGAAGGGAGACAGATAACCAAGTACAATTTTTATGTCAATCAGATCTCTGGAAAAACATAATACTAATATTTGCTTAGAGAAAGATATCTTATCTGCAGAGGACCCTTTGCAGTGTATACTTGTCATAAGGTAGGGAGAACAGGGAGAACAATTTTCTTGGTTTTCCCAGGAATGATTTTGTCTTAGCACTGAAAATTCAGTGTCACAGCATATCCCTAACTGGGATTCAAAATGTACCCATTTTGAGGTATGAATGCAGTGGTGTGGAGGTGTGTGGGGAGGTAGGACGTGGAGTAGAGAGAATACAAAACCCATACAGTAGCCAGCCCCAAAACAAGAGCTAAAAGTAACATATTTTCAGTATTAAATGGATAGGGCAAGGATTTTCCATCTTGCATAGTTACTGTTGCTGTTTTGTTCTTTAAAAGATGATGTTGGGAAGGTAATTTGTGTCTTGCAATAACGGATCATCCACTGTTGCATCACTATAAGTAATGAGACTTAAGTGCACAATTTAAGTGCATTGTAATCCTTGGTGTTAACAGTCCTTTGACATTGCCTGCACATAAAATGTTATGCTATCAGTATAGTGATACTTTCATAATTTGAATATTGTGATCATGATCATGTTTTATAAAAGTTCAAATAATGAAAATGAGAACCATTAAAATACCAATGCCAGCATGATCCATACATCACCATAAATGCAGGCTAAATAGATCTGTTATTTTACTGATAGATGGAAGGTCATATGCAACTGAATTTGGGAAATAAAAAATCACGACAGAGTATATTGCAAAATATGCAGAAAGGAATTTGGGATTGGACATGGTGAAGAAGTGGATATAGAAATACATGTTTATACTGACAATCACAGTTCTAGGATGAGACCTATGTACTTTTAAATCAAGCAAAGGTTTTTGTCTCCCATATAAGGCTCAGTCGCAAACAACGCCAGCTGAGTTAATGTGTGTGTACCACATGAGCAAATAAACATTATTATATAGTTTCCTTGATTACTTCACGAATCTGGGTAAAGCAACATTTCCTGATTCAGAGGTTGCACCTGAGTATAAAGAAAGGGGGGATTTGATAAGAAGTGTGTTTGCCTTCTACAAATACAGCTGATATGTCAGACATTATTAACAATCATGCTTTCTACAGTATATCAACTAATGTGTCAAATCAGAGCAACAATAAAACTCCCCTTACAGATTTTGGTTTAAAAAACAGAGCTTTATATAATCTATTTCTAAAAAATTTTAATAAAGCTGCAGAAAACATAAAATAAAAGATCACTGATATCTTGGCCAATATAAACTAGACTTTGTCCAACAATATGTATATTCAATAAAAAGTAAAAATACAAATTTTGGCAAATTTCGTTTAACTATAGAGTTAAGAAATAAAGAGAAAAGGTCTTATGTACTAAATATCCTCTAAACTTTATAGCCTTCACTCCTAAAAAGGGGTGTGATTTGTGCACCTGTGATAGTAAGGATGTCATAACGATAATTTGGGGGGACATTTTGGTTTCCTAAAAACTTGGGGAAACATTTCTTGAGACTTTTTTGCGTTATAAAAATGGAAGAAGATAAACTTCTAGATGTGTGCCTAGGAGACCGCTATCACTGCGGCCACTGATAGAATAAATATTACAATACCGACCTAATATGAAATCACATTTCCAAAGTGCAGAACAAGAAGAATGTTATTCTTTAATTTGAAAACACATTGAGAATAAGAATGGAGAAAAAGGATTACAGTAAGATAAACAATGTATATGCTATTTCTCAAAAACTATTTGATGATTTTTGAAGCAGCCGTAAGGAAGCATTCTAAAAAAGATGAATTGATTTCACCTGAGTGTTTGATGTTAGTGTAGGTTACAACAAAACCCAGGCAGTAAAAATAAAATGATTCTTTTTTTTAAGAAATAAGATTGTTTTTGAACACGCGCGCACACTCACACACACACACACATACACACATCATGAGCCACCAGCAAACTTAAGACTTTCTAAACTTCTTTATTAAAATTATAACTTATTTGGAATCCAGCTTCAATTCAAGAGTTCAAATTACCTCTCTTTTTCTGAACAAATTTCACTGAAAAATAGAAGCTTAGCTTATGAAAACATTCAATATGCTTCACAGTGTTTAAACATGATGGGCATTTTAGACATGAACAGCACATATAATGAATAGACACAAAGAAACTGATTAACAAACAGCTAGTCTACAAAACAAGCCTGTAGATATAGTGTGGATAAAAATTTTTAGAGTAATGAAAAAGGATTCCTACAAGCCTAACCTGCTCTTGCTAGTAGGTAAAATCCTAAATATTTCATTCTCAAATGATTTTGTTGAGAGACTATTTAGCTTGAAGTCATTACATTGGACTGACACCAGAAATCAGTGTACTGTTATCTTGATAAGAGCAGAGCTATAAGTCAAAATGAATTTTCTGTTTGACTGAATTGAAATTTCACACTACATAAAAGAAAAGAAGGATTTTCTAAATGCTTCAGTCAATTTAGAGAAGTATTATTGGAAAAGGAAAAAGAAAAACTAAAACATAGTCAATCTTGCCATTGGATATAAAGAAATGTCATTGTTACTCGTTATTAAGTATAGGTAATATCTCTTTAATTAATCCCTTAGTATTTATGTTCTGATCTTTTTAACAGACTTGATTTTTACAGCAGCTGTAGATCCACTCTCAAAATTGAGCAGAAGTTATAGAGATTTCCCATATAATCACTTCCCCCACACGTGCACAGCCTCCCCCAATATAAACATATCCCATTAGGAGATACATTTGCTATAACTGATAAAATTAATTGATACATCTTAATCACCCATAGTCCATAGTTTACATTATTTCATTCTGTATGTTGTATATTTTATGAGTTTGGACAAATGTGGAATGATACATATCCACCATTAGGGTATCATACAGAGTAGTTTCACTGTCCTAAATATACTATGCATTACACCTATTCATTCCTCCCTCCCCCCAGCCCATGACAACCACTGGTCTTTTTACTGTCCCTATAGTATGTTCTCTTCTGAAGAAGTCTTACATTTATGTGTCAAGAATGCTCAGTAGTATAGCCTATATGATTTAAATATATAATGAAGAGTTTCGAAAGAGTTAAAAAACATTCAAACATGAAAGGAATTGTTGGTGACCATCTTTGCAGATAATATCTTACATAACCTATAATACAGCATATCTATCCTTTCTAGGTAAATAGTCAACAGAAATACAGGAATTTTGTGCATGTATGCATTCATGCAACAGCAATTTTTATAATAGCTTAAAGCTAGAAATAATATAAATAAGAACATTAAAATGTAAGTTAATTTTGGAATTTATGTAACACTCAATAGTCTAGAAAATGAGTGAACTAGAGGCATACCAGAAAATGAATCTTGCAAACATAATTAGGAGCAAAATTAATCAGACACAAAAATGTACATAAAAATAAAGAGGTAAAATTAATTGCATTTTAAAGAAGGAAACATTTTAAAATATTATAATTTTCTCACAGATGGTATTAGTATAACCAGTCCTGCCATTATTACTGCTAATTGCCCTTGTTCCCTAATTCTATTTTTTATTTGTTTAAATAATATTTATTTAACTGAAACATAAATGGTATAGGGTTATATGTTATCTCTAATAAACTCAATATTTTATATTTAAAGCATTAAATATATATATAATTATTTATTATAGATGAAGTTTTTGTAGATACGGTTGTCTGAGTTGGCTAAGTTGATCACACTAGGTAAAAATTTTTTAATTAGTAAAAAAATTACTATTTTACTAATGGTAAAATAAACCAGATTCTATTAATTTGTGAGTCAAAGCTCCTTGAAAAATGTTGGATAAGTTCTTTTTTTTTTTTTTTTTTTTGAGACGGAGTCTCGCTCTGTGGCCCAGGCGGGAGTGCAGTGGCGCAATCTCGGCTCACTGCAAGCTCCGCCTCCCGGGTTCACGCCATTCTCCTGCCTCACCCTCTTGAGTAGCTGGGACTACAGGCGCCCGCCATCACGCCCGGCTAATTTTTTTTTTTTTGTATTTTTAGTAGAGACGGGGTTTCACCGTGTTAGCCAGGATGGTCTCGATCTCCTGACCTCGTGATCCACCCGCCTCGGTCTCCCAAAGTGCTGGGATTACAGGCGTGAGCCACCGCGCCCGGCCTGGATAAGTTCTATAACTCTGTAAGATATAAAATATAAATGTTTTATAACTGAAATTCTTCCTGCTATGTGAGATAACCTCATAAACGTCACTTATATACCTCTTTTACTATTCCAGAGGAACACACCCCATGCAGGAAGGAAGGATCTGGGAGCTTTCCTTTTATCGTCATATCTCTCCCTCTTTTCCCTGTGTTGCTTGATTGCCCGTATCCTTGAAGTTATTAATAAATCTTTAAAATGGATAAGATCTCTAATTTGCATGGGCTTTACTATGAAGTCATTCATGTTAGTTCAACTATCATATATTAATTATAAGACGGTACATTTAATACAATGATTTTTGCATCTGACAAGTGACGTTTCAATCTAACTTTGCCATCCTGAACTTTGTCAATTCTTTAACCTGTGAGCCTCAGTGAATCCTAAATGTAAGATAAAAATAATAATATTATTAACTAAAAAATTTCATGTGATGATTAAAGTAATGAAAAGAACACAGAGACTAAAACATAATAATGACAGTGGCAGGAGGCAGCCAAAAGCCTAGGTAGATAGGGGCGGGCTCCCGGTGAAACCCCACCTCCAAGCCAAGGACAGTTTAAAGCCTGAAAGCCAAGCTACAGGTAAAATCCTCTGACCAGATTGAGAACTTATCGTCCCATTTGGTGCACTTTCCTCTGACTGTCCCCACCCTTCACCTGTTTTTACACATACCTACCCTTTTGTAATTGTTTTTTCTACACTGTCGTGCCCACCTTTGAATGGTGTCTTCGCTTCAACTTTTTTTGCATACTCACAAACCAATCAGCACACACTCCCCATGCTGAGTCCATAAAAGGTCCCTGACCCAGCCACACAGGGAACTTTCCCACCTTCGGGTAGGGGAACCACCTGCCACATCCCCTTTCTGCTGAGAGCTGTTTTGTCGCTCAATAAAATTCTTCTCCGCCCCCCTCACCCTTCAATGTCCAGCGTATCCTTCTTTTACTTGAGGATAGTACAAAATCTCCAGAACCTCCAAATGCAGGTACAAGCTATTACACAGGTGAGCTGGGGCATGCCAGTGTGGCTGAGCAAGGCCTGGCCGAGGCATCACCGGCCAGGGGTCCCCGGTTTTCAAAGTACCCAAGAAGAAAAATCCTCCATTAATAACAAATTTGGGTATTTGCTTATGTTAATTAGACTGGAGTGCAATGTGCAAACACAAAATATCATTCACAAAATATTTCTAATGTTTGTTTCAAAATATTTCTTCCTTCTGGTCAGATTGTGAGATTGCACTTCTCTATCCCATTTCAAGTCTAATGTTGCCATGTGACTTGAATAAATAGATAACATAGTAGTTTAGATGACACAAATAGAAAGTGTTGTTTAAGAATGGTGAAAGGGAGTGGTGATTCACCAGTCTCCTGACTTTATCCCTCAGGGTTACAGTGGTCATGGTAGTATATGGGGATATTAATTCTTCCTTTACTGAGCTCCTGAGTGACGAAGCTGAACAAAGCTCCCTGATAGCCAGCACTGGGCATATACTATGAGAGAAAATCAAAGTTTTGTTCTGTTAAACCATTGAGATTCAGGATTTGTTCTGATAGTACTACCTAGGCTAAACTGTTTGGCTCAAAAGAAAAGACATGCTATTTGAAAGGAAACTGTAAAAAAGCCTTTGGCAGTAGTTCTGTTATATTTTGGAGAAATCCTAATAAGATGCTACTTCAAAAAGAGGTTAATTGAAGAAATGTTTCAAAATACAACAGCAAACTAAAATTTGCTTAGGGGGCAAGAATCTAAAAGAGTCAAAGAAACTTACTAAAATAATATGAAGTGATGAATGATGAAGTGATTAAACAAAGGTAGTGATTAGGTAGAATTTTTAAGTAGTAGGTAATTTATATTTAGAACATAGTGTCATCATTTAGACTTAACAAGGCAATAAAGATTAAAAGAGGCAGAAAAAGAACAGTTTTCCCAGGCTAGGCACTTGGAAGATGCCCAAAGCTGGAAAGTATAACTCGTAAAAGAGAAAAATCTTTATTAAAGGAAATAGTAAAATGGTATATGAAAATATAAATATGTATTTTATTTCCTCATATAGTTGTAATTATATTTTAATCTTTTGAGTATTCATTCAATTTTCAAATCAATGAATTAATTATATGCAAAGAACAAATTCTGTATTATGTGCCATTTATGTCACTTAGTAAAATACAAAATTAGAAAAAAATTTTGCGACTTATTATGCACTTAAATTTTACCTTTTTATTCTTAAACTTTTTGTAATCCTATAATTACATTTTCTAACAATAAAACAAAAAATATGTAATTTGTGTTAAAGGCATATTTACATTTTAAATTTATGATCTCAATTAATCAATTCCAGTTGTGAAGGAAAGTTCATATTGATTTTACTTAATTTTTCAGTATGTATCAATAATCACTCTTTACAATAAATAAAACTGGGAAAGAGATTATATCTGAGATTTTTGGTATAATAGATTATTAAATATAGGATGACACAGAGGACACCCAAACCTTTTTTTTAAATAGAGTTTATAACAAATTGGGAAAGAAAAAGAATGTACTTAACACAAATATTCACATATTTATAAAGCAACTTAGAAAATAGAAAACAACAATGATTAATTAAGGGTAGTTAGTTGCAAAGGGAAGATTGCATAAATAAGCAGAGTTAATTGAGAAATTTTCTCAGAAAATAATTTTGATTGGATTTTCAACATTTTTTTAAAAAAATTGTATAATCTATATGGAAATATCAGGAAATTCTGGAAGGCATAAATATGAATCTCACTCCATCTGTAACTGATGGAGCGAGATTCTTCTTCCTCCAGGGTCTCTGGCTTTAACAGTAACATAAAGCATTTGTGACAATACTCCTTTCCAATAATTCATTGACTACTCTTGTTTTTCTTTTTTCCTCTTACAAGACTCCAAACCTTGAGGGCATGGATTGATCATGAGAGTTGCATATTAGCTGAACTAAAGCAACTAATGAAGCAGACTGGTAGAACAGTTTTGACTGTCAAAGACAGACAAAATTGTCTTACTGTGGAACCTTTCCAAAATAAACCAACTGGAACCAAATATTTGGATGACATTTGTATAGAGAATGTGATATGAGCCATTAAGTTACTACTGCCCGGATTGAGTTCACTGGCTAATTATTATAAATCATTTCACTTTTCATTACGTATAAATGGTTTTCAAAAGGAAAATAATATATTGAAAATGACACTGATATTCCAAAATAGCTTGCTATGATAGCCAAAGTCTTTTAATCTGCTTAGGTAATTTGCCTCTGGAATGAGGAAAGAGGGTAAATTCCTTAAACATTTTTCACTTAATACAGAAAAAAGAAAATTGGTAGAAAGTGGATGGCAAAAATGACAACAAAGAAGGTAATCTTAGACAAGTCTATAATCTTTCTCAATACATTATTTTATAGCAGCATTGGCAGTTGCAATATGCTACATTTACAGAGCAGTAATTTAAGTCTCAAAAGCAACTAAAGTACTTTGCAAATTTAAATGCATTTCTTCAGGGACCACTCTAACCACCACAAAAATAACTGTTGCATTTCACCCCTAGGTAGTTACAAATGAAAGTGCAAAATAATTTTAAATGTTAGTTAAAGGATGGAGAAAAACATTAAAAGTAATAGTTGCTGCATAGAGAAGTTAAGTAGGCAGAACACAGTCATCTGAGAGTCAGATAATTTAGCCAGGGCTCTAGGATGGCAATCCATGTATGTCTTCATTAAATGTAAAATGTATTACACTTTATGTGCTCAATGGATAAGACTTCTGGATTTCAGATAAAGCTTTCCACTTGATTTAGCTCCTTAGGCACTGATGAAACAGAAATGGCCAAAAAGAGGCTGATTGTGCACTGTAATCTAGTGGTGAAAAATAATACATATTTCATTTAAAAAGCAAGTTATAATAAATGTTATGTGTGGAAACCAGTTAGATGGCAACTAACTGTTTTATTGTTTACTTGTTCATCCATCCATCCATCCATTCATTAATTTTTACAAATATATTTTAGGGGTCTTCCATATGCCTAACCTAGGCAGCAAGGCAATGCAGTGGTGAAGGTGAATACGGTCTCACTTTCTGGTTTTAAGGAACTTAAATAATTGAGGAAGAGAGTATAGGACTCATTTTAACCCCCAGGATAATTTAATGCAATAAACATCTAAGGTTCAGCTCATAGATGGTCAGGACATGACAGATGTGAGGCTATTCGATTTTATTTAGCCCAGCACTATGTCCCTAACACTGTTCCCCCAGGAAAAGCCTGTCTCTTCACAAAAATACATACCTATCTATTAATTACTGCTGTGAAGAAACAACCTTCTAAATTCCAGAATAGTGTTTTGTTTCATGAAATGTTTAATGTAAATACACAGGAGGTGAAAGTCCTGGGAATAGCACTCACAGCCTTAGGACGACTCAGAGTAACATACAGTGGAGGAAAAGGAACAGATTCGAAAGTCAAAGGTGACACTAGAAAGCATAGATTTTCCTGCTGACCAACTCATTCTAAATAAAAGTCATGATATAAAATTAAACATTGGGTAGCCACATTGTTCTGTTCTGTGAGTTTTTAACTGAGTGAAATAAATGAAGACATAACCCTGTGAACATCTGGCTCCCAACGCTCCCAGATTCAGAATCATGTTTTTAAATTTAGGGTACAATACAGATAGGCTCTTTTTAAAGAATAGGAAGGCAAAGAATATTTCCTCTGGTTTCTTTCCAAATTGTTATTGTCTTTGTATTTTATTGAGCTCTGCATAGTGTGGATTTTAGAGCTTAAAGAGAAGGCCTCATCATATTTATAATTTTATAATGTTCATATCTTCAAAACACATCTTCAAGGGTTAATCCTTTAACCCTCTTTTGGATTCTTATGTGTGCCACTGGGCCGAAAATCCTACAGGAGATGTTTACCCTTGCTCTTGACCACAGAATGTTGATGAAGCTATAAGCAAGCTCACCTCTAAGCAAGACACTAAGGTAGCCTCTCTAATTCACCACAGTTCATGGGGTCTCCAAGAGAAAGGTGTACCAAAACTTCTCCGGGTCTGTGTATATGTGCTGTTCTCATCCTTTAGCACGAGCAGGGAAGAGAAAACATTTTAGCATGTTCACCAACTTAAAGTATACTATGGTCTCCTATCTTGTTTTAAGAATGCTTTATTATCTATTTTGAAAATACTGACTTGTGGTTTGATTAATAAATTAAATGCATTTTATTCTTGTTTATCCTGATGGACTTCAGTTTCCTCTCCTCCTTGTTTTGATCCCGGATGTTTTCTGCACATCTGAGCAAGCTGAGCCAGTTGGGAGTGCATATATAAAACCCACACAGATTGATTGCATTTCATAGATTTCCCTCATAAAAATATAAGAATTGCCAAGGAGATCATGAGGGGAACAAATGAATGCTAGGCACTTAGGTATTGCAAAGGAATTTTTCTTATAAACTAAATTACTAACATTAACTGTCCAAAAAGACAAAAAAAAAATGAATTCCTGGTGCAGTCTCTGAATTTTCTAAAACAAAGGGGCAGAAACCTTAAAAGAAAAGAACAAAGATTTATTAGAATGGCTGCCAAGTGAACCCTAGTTAAGAAATATACTTAGCATTATACTATTCTACTACCTACAACTAAAACAAACAAAGACATTGACTATCATAAATAAAATGAGAAAGAAAAGGTACTGCTAATTTCTGGACATTGTTTAGCTTTCCATGACAAGTACAAATTGAAATCTTAGACTCTCATTCTGTATTGCTAGTCTTCAGCTTTCAATATCTTTAAAGGCAATTTAAAAAAATTGTAGTGGTTTGCTTATTGTTGTTGCTTGTACTGTTGTTATTTTGTCTATTGCTTTTATCTGGCTGGGGCGACAGTCCTTATTAAGCTCTCTAGTTGTTAAGATGTTTATTTGAACTTCATTTTACTGAGACTATACCCAGAGGATGCCATTTATCTCTTTTGTGCCTAAGTATTCTTACGGTGAAGTAAAAAAGATCGGGTACTTATAAAATTCTGTGGTGAGGTAAAATGTTCTATAAAAGTGCATCTCAAGAGAATTCCTTATATGAAATTTGATATAGAGGCTGTTTTTTCTTCTCTGCATAACACCTTATGACTACTATATATTTTCAAGCAAACTTGTTTAACTTTTGAAAAGCAGATGAAATATGAATGTTTTTACAAATTTAAGTTACAGGTTGTAATCCGAACACCAAGTTTACAGCAGGTCACTATTATTTCTAACTTTTAAAATAATTTTATTTCTTTTTTAAAAAATAAAAATAGTAGCTTAAAAATTCAGTTTAATTTTTAGTTCAAGATGGTGGCCTGAAAAATTACACTTAAATTTGTTTCCACCATAAAACTCTATTTAAATTACAGTAAATATCTAGTGGAACTGGTAAAATTCATAAAAACATAGAGAATATTTTAAGCTGCCTGAACAATTTTCTCTCACAAAATCTCTGGATAATATAAGGAAGATAGGATTTAGGAAGTAAATAAACCAAACTAGAGAAAACTGCAGACCAGCAGACCAAAAGAAGCACAAGAAAAATCGCCACTAGTCGTAAAACCCATTCTCCTCAAGGGTCTCAATTATAAGATAACTTTATAATATTTGTGGAAAAAATAAAATTAAAAGATAAAAATAAAAAATATAAAACTTTATTTCCCAACAAAAGCTCCATAGAGGTCAAGGCAATTTCGAAAGCAGTGATAGCATCCTTTTAGTCTATCCCTAAAGAACTTTAACCATATCAGTGAATTTAACCATATCAATGCTATCTTTTTACATTATTAACTGAAGAAAAATGGGTATCCATTATAGATTTTTTTTAAAATTAGAAAAAAGGAAGTGCTAGAAAAAGTCAAATCAGGACTGTGAAGTGTATGACTAATAATTTCCCATCAAAATTCTCACTAAATTAATCTGGTTTCATGAGAGAAATAAGCAAAAGCATTATCATGGTGGAGTAGGGCTCTCTGTTGAAGATTTCCCATGTGTCTTTTCTGCTAAAGCTGGCTAACTTTTTTAAAGCATTCTCATAATATAACTCTTCTCTAAGTCTAAAATTGTTTTAAAAGTATTTAATTAAATGTTTTAACTTTTAAAGTTTTGGAAGGTAACATTGATAATGCGAAAGTCAGTTAGATAGAAAATATCATAGAAAATTGATTGATGTAAAGTTCAATCTAAGTATGTCCAACTATTAAAGTGAAAACATACAAAGTAGAGGGAGAAAATATGAAGAAAATATTAGAAACACATTATTCAGAAAAAACCTGTGTCATCAGGTTAAATGTGTTGACTAACTACCTCACAGAAAACGTGTAAAAATTCCCACTCCCTTTTTTCTGCATTTCAATTTCATTATTTATTTAGATGTTTAAGCTCTCACACTAGGTTTTTACAATTTGGTACACACTGACAAATTATTTCTCCCAAAGAACTATAAAACATGTCCCCAGACAGTATAAATATATAGTTGAACGAATACTAATGCACATCACCATTTATCAAGTACATAGTGAAACAAATTATCAGGTATCCAAATATTAAGTTACACAGCTCAAAAGACATACAAAATATTAGATGTTTGCTCAATTTATTAGCAGAAACCCACTTCTTTTTTCTCAGGAGAAGTCAAGAAGAAAAGGGAAAAAAAATCACAATTCAAACAAAAGTAAGTTGGTAAACAACTTCTGATGAGTATGGAAAAAATTATAAGAATTTCAGAAATTTTATGAATAAGAATTGTTTTAGCTACAATAACAAAGCAACTGTACCTTTAAAAATATTTACTAAGCTAAAGAGCATATTCTACAAGTTCTGCACAAGACAAAGACAATATTTTGCTAAAAATAACTAATAGCCCCCTCCCATTCTTTTCTCCCGCCCTCCCTGTTAAGTTGTATCTCAGAGTGCAAACATTAAATTAACTGTAAGGCTGTTTTGTCTGAAGACATTAAAGACAGATGCTTCTGTATAATGTAGATTTTCAAAATGGAGGTTTTTACATAACAGCACAAAGTAAGATTTATAGATACATGTTAAGTAATCACTGTAAGACTTGGTAAAAAAAAAATCGGGGTTTAAATAAACCTGATGTGGGAGGTGTAAACATAAAGTGAGTAAGCAAATAACTATGTAGGCCCTACTTTCAATGTTTGAAAAGATTGAAGGAATAAACCACATAAGGCCTAGAGTGTTCATAATTCCTTGGGATTTTAGTTCTATATGATACTAAAAATATGCAAGTATTGTGCTGGGTATTTTGGCACCTAACCTTAAATTTCTTGTATATTGTTAAGATTCTGGCATGTGAATAGATTTAAACAAGACATAACTCAATAATGCACGATTTCAGGAAAGGTCAATTGGTATGAATGACAAGCACACTTTAAATACTGACAGCCAGAAATCTTTTGCCAAGTGTCCAAATTGTTTAACTGTAGCCCAAACACAGAGGTTGTCAAATCTGTCTAGCTTGTGGTCTGGTAAAACTGCCTTTCAATACTCCTATGGAAGATTCATTAGACTTATTCACTAAGCCGACATGTTGTCTAATATGTATAACAAAAGGTCGTCTCAAGTTCCACTTCCAAGGCAATAGCATGAGGCACCCCAGTTTTACTGAATGCAACAGTTGTTTCTATGACCTTTGGAGTCTTTGAAGAGCAGCTGTATTTTAGGAGGATACTTCTCCAACTACAAAAGTTTCTTGCTGTTAAATGCTTCATGCTGGTTTTGTCTTATAAATTGTACTGCATCTTCATATTTCATTCCACCTTCAATTAATGCTAAGCAACAAGTATTGGAGCTCTCTGAAGGCCTGCAACACAATGAATAGCAATACATCAACCAGGTTCTTCACAAAACTTGATTTTTACAATACTTAACCAGTCATCAACAATCTAGTTGGATGGTGGTGCACCATCATCAAAAGGCCAATTGAGAACATGGATACCTTCCTCTCCACAAGAGTAGTGTCATAAATTGCTTCACATACTCTTACTATTGTGGTAACCCCATACTTCTTAAGTTCCTCTCTAAATTTGTTTAAGGTCACATTGGTTTGATTGTATGTAATAAGAAATCTCATGTTTTTTTGTGTGACTTCCACAGGAGTCAAGCCATCTTAATTTAATTGAAAAAAACACTCAATAGGTTTATGAAAGAATTTTAAAAATTGGATACAGAAATGATGCAAAGAAACTGAAGTCTACTTCAACATACTCCACTTGAAATTTTCAGTGCTTTGAATATGAAGCTGTAAGTAATAATAAATGAAATGAACCTCCTAACAAGAAGCAGTAATTCTTCAATTCAGTAATACTGAGTCTAACAGAAAGTAAGGGCACTAGGGTTTACCCCATCTAGGTGAGAACTCTTGTAAAATGCTCTGCGGGTTTCAATTCAACACTTCTGTGTCCAGGATAACCATTCTTATGGGGCGTTCCTTACAGTTCATTTGTCTGCATAGAGGTCATGCCGTGCCTGGTAGTAATCTCCACTGCCCCTCAGAAATTTCATACATGTGTGACAGAGAACACCACAAAACTGAGGAATATGTTTACTCATTGAAGATTATGGCCTAATCATACAGCCGGTCCTCACAGGCCAGGGCGGTGGCGGTGGTTGCTAGGCAGGGGGCGGCGGTTGCTAGGCAGGGGGCGGCGGTGGTTGTCACAGAGCGATGGGAGCCCCAAATTCCTTCTTTTAAAATCGTATGTAATAGATTTTCAAATCACTATGGACAAACAGAAGGTTGCATATGAACGTCAGACTTCTCGAGAACAATATTGGATGATATATAATAAAACAATGGAGAAATATCTCCAGGATTTTGACTGTAATAACTTTGAACCCACAGTTATAAACTAGCAAAGCTAAAACCAAAAGGAAATAAAAATATATTTACAGATAGACAAAGTATAGTGTCAGTGACCATATCTGTTATTTGTAGGAAAAAAAAATGAACATATGCTCTAGCAAAATGAGAAAGGAATTCTAAAAAGATGAAAAGCGGAAAGCAGGAGCTTCCGTTGAAAAAATATTCCAAGAACAAATGGGCAAGCCCCTTTAGAAAGCAATCAGTAATATGTAAAACATTTTTTTAGTACTATGATAAACAATCTGGATAATGTCATCAGTAGTGTGAGAAAATTTTATACTGTTTCTGCCAAGTAGGAAAAGGTCAAAGTAATCAGAATTTTTTTTAAAAAAAGAGCTGCACAAAACGTTGTGATCCAAATGAACGAAAATGCAAATGCAGCATGAGTTTTAGCACAATGAAATGTAATATATTTAACTTAAAAATAGATTGCTCTTTTTAAAATTTTGCAGTTTCTGTGTGAAAATTACACCTTCTTCTTTATGCTTATCCTTTCTTCTCTATGCACTGTCATGTTCTGTAATAAAAAATATTTACATTAATGATATAAATGCTCTTTGTTTTCCATTTTAGAATCAAAATATTACAAAACACAGATATTTTAAATTTTATTGCAGTAGGAACTGTAAGTTTGATAAACCTTATCAATGGATTTTAGTCGTCTGAATATCTGAAGTTAGAAGTCGAATTAGGGAGAATTTGGGTAGCTAAAAGTAGGGGTATTAGCATTTTTTTTTCATCTTATGAAGTCTGAGATCCAATCTGTCTTTATTTAGAGAAATAAGAAATACAGATTTAAGCAAATCACTTAAAATTAGAGGATAAATATATGAAAAACTAAAAATAATTTAATAAAAGGTTTGGAAAGATAAAAGAAGTCTCACAAGGCAGAATTTCTCATACTTCACAAGAAGTAAATAGAAATAGTCTAAAGTTGATAAATCGAGAAGGAAAAATAAAACAATTTTTTTAGAATTTCATTGAAAAACCCCATAATTGAAATTAAAAGAGTTAAATGTTGTTAAATCAGAAGGGTAATATAGAAACTGGGTCTGAGTAATATTAATTTTGAGTTAATTTTGTGGTGTACTGGTTTGAATTTTTTTCTTTTTTAAAAACATTTTCTTGTATTTTTTATAAAAATGTTTACATAATATTGTATAAATAGATTTAATTCAAATTTTCTTAGGGTGAGTTTTCCTTGGAAAATATAATTTCTATTAAATATTCCCCTTATTTTAACTCTGAGCTATGATCTTGTTTAAAAATATTATTGACAAAAATGGCTGTAGAATGTGTGAATAGTGGTATATAAATATAGGAAAGTATATATACAGATATAAAAAAGGCTAGATGATATGTATGCTTAAAAATTTGAACATATTCTGGGGCAAACTCTTGTTATTCTTCACAATGATAATTAGCATACTGGATTAAAAATATTTCTGCAATTATTTTGCTATTAACTTGGCTATCATAACAAAATAAATTAATTTATAATGATAACAAGCAATGGCGTTAATTGTAATTTTTACCAATACTATGAAATAAATGGAAAAGAACATGTCAGATTTGGCCACTTTTAAATTATTTGCCTAACATTCAACATCTTTCCCAATTGCACAAATTAAACAATTAAAATTCAATGCAGAGTTAAGAAAAGCAACTGAGAAAAAAATAAATCAATTTGATAATGTCACAGTTTTCTTTATTATACTTGTAAGGCTCAATAAGACAAATCTTGAGTTCACTTTGACAAAATTGAGTACACATGTACAAGTATGATTTTTATTCATTAAATATGTAAAAACTTGCTCATGACTTGGTGAAATATATTTCATTTTTGTTTGTTCTCAGTTCTCTGCATGAGGCCTGATCACAACGAATTAAGGACAAGCCAATCAACACTGAGTAGAACAACACTAAGATACGAACAGATGTTTTATGGAGTTATTTTGTTTCTAAATATTCTTTACTGAGTACTCCTGAAAAAGCAGATAGCAAACTGTACTCATTAAGGCCTATAAACTTTATCAGTAAAGTATGTTACAGTGAATTAAATTGCTGCTCTTCTCAAATAATCCCTTGTCACTCCCTAAATGACAAAGAATTATTACACATCTGTGATATATAACATAATATATACACAATTAACATTTTTGTTTGTGCAATTAATGCTTATTCAGAGCCTACTAGGTAACAGATTCCGTACAAGATGCTGACTATATATTAGTGACTACAGCAACTCTGTAGGTGAAAATACAAACACATGATAATCTACTTTAATAGATACTATGAAGAAAACAAATCTTGTGCTGAAATGTTGAATAGTAAGGACAAGTGTCTAGATTGCTAGCCAGGTAAGACTTTCCTAAGGATATGATGCTTACCTTGAATCATGAAAGATGGAATCTATCTAGTCATATAAAAATGAGATGATGCAAATGAGTGGAAAATGAATTGTAGGCAAAGTGTCAACAAATGACAAAGCTCTGCAGTAGGAGGTGTGTTGGCATCTTTGGTGAAATGAAAGTCAGTTGAGTCCAAAAAGAAAACAGTTTTGTATACTTAGGCAAAATACATGAACAGTTATATAGAATATGTGATAGCTTGTGTGTATATCTATGTGTATATGTGTCTACATAATAAATATTGAGTGTTTCTATTAAGATTTTCTCACCTTTGGAATTCAAAGTTTATTTATTCTTACCTTGAATGTGCACAACTGCACTACAATTTCTATTTCTCCCTTCTATTAATGATAGAATATATATTATTATTGTTACTGCCATTTATTCTATAGCAATAGAAATGGAATAAACCTTTAATTTGAATCAAACATGTTTTAAATTTGCTCTACCTGTCATTGTGAGGACTTACATATGTTTACAGACTAATTACTTGGTGCCTAATACTTTGCACAATGTTATTATTCAATAAGTGTAGCCCAGAAGAAACTTTAGGAGCTAGAACAAATGGTTGGGTGAAATAACAAAAATGGTAGACTGACCAGTGCTATAGGTGTTAACTATTGTTAAGTGGATGCAGGATTTTAAAAAACACAAAAGAGATGTCTGCTTTTATTGAAAAATACTATGGTTTACTGATTCTTAGAGCCTGGGAACTTTTGCAATAATCAAGACAAGTATCTCCTGAGTAAGTCAAGGGAGATTGTTTTCAAGTCCATATCATCCCACCTATTATAATTAGCGGACATGATTCTGTAAAAATAATAATAATAATTAAATTAAATCCCAAACTAGAAAATGGCAGCATTTATTATCTGGTTGTAGTCATGTTATGATTTGGCCTGGGTCATGAACAATGGTCTCTTTTGCTGCCTTAATTATTTTCTTGTTCATGTGAAAGTTTTCTAGCTCACACAAAATGTTTCAGAGAGTGGAAATTTGATTTGATATTCTTGCAAAGCAATCTTTGGTGCTAGCTTTGGGGAAAAAATGACTGAAAGCTTGGAAATAAAACAAATTTGCATAATGCTATAAAATAGAATCATTCGTATCATGGATATGACTTTTTAAAGTACAGACATCATTAACAACATTTCTTGGAACTATATAATATCACAAAAGTTACATGTGTTTTTAAAGCCCAGAAGCAAAAAAGTAAAATTTTTAAAATAGTTTTTTAAAATAGTATATTCTGGAAAGGATTATTTTTTAATAATTCATGTACAAAATCTAACTTTAATTATGGAACACTTTCCATTTTAACTTTTCGCAGTAACTTCTTTTTTCGTTTTGTTTTTTTTTTTTTTTTCATTAGAGTCTCACTCTGTCGCCCAGGCTGGAGTGCTGGAGGGCAGTGGCACCATCCCGGCTCACTGCAAGCTCTGCCTCCCAGGTTCACAATACTCCCCTGCCTCAGCCTCCTGAGTAGGTGGGGCTACAGGTACCCGCCACCACACCTGGCTAATTTTTTGTATTTTTAGTAGAAACGGGGTTTCACCGTGTTAGCCAGGATGGTCTCAATCTCCTGACCTTGTGATCCACCTACCTCGGCCTCCCAAAGTGCTGGAATTACAGGCGTGAGCCACTGCACCTGACCAGTAACTTCTGAGTAAGATTCTAATAAAACAAATCTGTTTATAAAGAACGAAATTCCTGCTGTCTGGGCAGGGCATCTCTGAAAAAAAAGGCAGTAGCCCCAGTCAGGGTCTTATAGATAAGTCCCAGGGACAGAGCACATGTTCTAACGGAATGCAAGGAAGCTAAGAATATTGAAAAAATGTTAGATGAATTGCAAACTAGAATAACCAGTTTAGAGAAGAACATAAATGACCTGATGGAGCTGAAAAACACAGCATGAGAACTTCGTGAAGCATACATATCAATAGCTGAATCGATCAAGCAGAAGAAAGGATATCAGATATTGAAAATCAACTCAATAAAATAAAGTGAGAAGACAAGATTAGAGAAAAAAGAGTGAAAAGAAACAAACAAAGCCTTCAAGAAACATGGGACTATGTGAAAAGACCAAATCTATGTTTGATTGGTGTACCTGAAAGTGACAGGGAGAATGGAACCAAGTTAGAAAACACTCTTCAGGATATTATCCAGGAGAACTTCCCCAGCTTAGCAAGGCAGGCCAACATTCAAATTCAGGAAATACAGAGAACGCCACAAAGATACTCCTCGAGAAGAGCAACTCCAAGACACATAATTGTCAGATTCACCAAGGTTGAAATGAAGGAAAAAATGTAAAGAGCAGCCAGAGAGAAAGTTCAGGTTACCCATAAAGGGAGGCCGATTAGATCAACAACAAATCTCTTGGCAGAAACCCTACAAGACAGAGGAGAGTGGGGGCCAATAGTTGACATTCTTAAAAAACAGAATTTTCAACCCTAGATAGAATTTCATATCTAGCCAAACTAAGCTTGAAGGACAAATAAAATCCTTTATAGAAAAGCAAATGCTCAGAGATTTTGTCACCACCAGGCCTGCTTTACAAGAGCTCCTGAAGGAAGCGCTAAACATGGAAAGGAACAAGCGGTACAATCCACTACAAAAACATACTAAATTATAAAGACGATTGACGCTATGAAGAAACAGCATCAACTAATGGGAAAAATAACCAGCTAGCATCATAACGACAGGATCAAATTCACACAACAATATTAACGTTAAATGTAAATGACAAAATGCCCCAATTAAAAGACACAGAGTGGCAAATTGGATAGAGTCAAAAACCCATCAGCGTGCTGTATTCAGGAAACCAATCTCACGTGCAAAGACACATATAGGCTCAAAATAAACTGATGGAGGAAGATTTACCAAGCAAAGGGAAAGCAAATAAAAAGCAGAGGTTGCAATTCTATCTCTGACAAAACAGACTTTAAAGCAACAAAGATCAGAAAAGACAAAGAAGGGCATTACATAATGGTAAAGGGATCAATTCAACAAGAAGAGCTAACTATCCTAAATATATATGCACCCAATACAGGAGCACCCAGATTCATAATACAAGTTCTTAGAGACCTCCAAAGAGACGTAGACTTCCACACAATGATAGTGGAAGACTTTAACACCCCACTGTCAATATTAGACAGATCAACAAGATAGAACATTAACAATGATATCCAGGACTTGAACTCAGCTCTGGACCAAGCAGACTTAACAGACATCTACAGAACTCTCTACCCCAAATCAACAGAATATACATTCTTCTCAACACCACACCACAATTAGGCTAAAATTGACCACATAATTGGAAGTAAAACACTTCTCAGCAAATGCAAAAGAACGGAAGTCATAACAAGCTGTCTCTCAGACCACAGTGCAAATTAGAACTCAGGAGTAAGAAACTCACACAAAACTGCACAACTACATGGAAACTGATCAACCTGTTCCTGAATGACTACTGGGTAAATAACAAAATGAAGGCAGGCATAAAGATGTTCTTTGAAATCAATGAGAGCAAAGACAAAAGGTACCAGAATCTGTGGGACACATTTAAGCCAATGTGTAGAGGGAAATTTATAGCACTAAGTGCCCACAAGGGAAAGCAGGAAAGATCTAAAATTGACACCCTAATATCACAATTAAAAGGACTAGAGAAGCAAGAGCAAACAAATTCAAAAGCTAGCAGAAGACAAGAAATAACTAAGATCAGAGCAGAACTGAAGGAGATAGAGACACGAAAATCCCTTCAAAAAATCAATGAATTCAGGAGCTGTTTTTTTGAAAGGATCAACAAAATAGATAGACTGCTAGCCAGACTAATAAAGAAGAAAAGGGAGAAGAATCAAATAGATGCAATAAAAAATAATACAGGGGATATCACCATCGATCCCACAGAAATACAAACTACCTTCAGAGAATACTATAAACATTTCTACACAAATAAACTAGAAAATCTAGAATAAATGGATAAATTCCTGGACACATACACCCTCCCAAGACTAAACCAGGAAGAGGTCAAATCCCTGAATAGACTAATAGCAAGTTCTGAAATTGAAGCAGTAATTAATAGCCTACAAACCAAAAAAAGGCCAGGACCAGACAGATTCACAGCCAAATTCTACCAGAAGTACAAAGAGGAACTAGTACCATTCCTTCTGAAACTAATCCAAAATATAGAGAAAGAGGGAATCCTCCCTAACTCATTTTATGAGGCCAGCATCATCCTGATTCCAAAATCTGGCAGAGAAACACACACACACACACACACACACACACACACACACACACACACACACACACACACACACACATATATATATATATATATATATATATATATATCAGGCCAATATTCATGGTGAATGTCGATGCAAAAATCCTCAATAAAATACTGGCAAACCGAATCCAGCAGCACATCAAAAATCTTATCCACCACAATCAAGTCAGCTTCATCCCTGGGATGCAAGGCTGGTCCAACATATGCAAATCAATAAACATAATCCATCACATAAACAAAACCAATGACAAAAACCATATGATTATCTCAATAGATGCAGAAAAAGCCTTCGACAAAATTCAACAGCCCTTCATGCTAAAAACGCTCAATAAACTAGGTATTGGTGGAAAGTATCTCAAAATAATAAGAGCTATTTATGACAAACCCACAGCCAAAATCATATTGAATGGGCAAAAACTGGAAGCATTCCCTTTGAAAACCAGCACAAGACAAGGATGCCCTTTCTTACCACTCCTATTCAACATAGTGTTGGTAGTCCTGGCCAGGGAGATCAGGCAAGAGAAAGAAATAAAGGGTATTCAGTTAGGAAAAGAGGAAGTCAAATTGTCTCTGTTCGTGGATGACATGATTGTATATTTAGAAAACCCCATCGTCTCAGCCCAAAACCTCCTTAAGCTGATAAATAACTTCAGCAAAGTCACAAGATAAAAAATCAATGTGCAAAAATCACAAGCATTCCTATACACCAATAACAGTTAAACAGAGAGCCAAATCATGAGTGAATTCCCATTCACAATTGCTACAAAGAGAATAAAATACCTAGGAATACAACTTACAAGGGATTGTCTCAAACTATCTATATATGAAGGACCTCTTTCAGCAGAACTATAAACCACTGCTCAACGAAATAAGAGAGGACACAAATAAACAGAAAAACATTCCATGCTCATGGATAGGAAGAATCAATATCATGAAAATGGCCATACTTCCCAAAATAATTTATAGATTCAATGCTATCCCCACCAAGCTAACACCAACTTTCTTCACCAAATTAGAAAAATAAAACTGCTTTAAATTTCATATGGAACAAAACAAGAGCCCTCATAGCCAAGACAATCCTAAGCAAGAAGAACAAAGCTGGAGGCACCATACTACTTGACTTCAAACTATATTACAAGGCTACAGTAATCAAGACAGCATGGTACTGGTACCAAAACAGAGAGACTGACCAATGGATCAGAACAGAGACCTCAGAAATAACACCAAACATCTACATACAACCATCTGATCTTTGACAAACCTGACAACAAGCAATGGGGAAATCATTCTCTATTTAATAAATGGTGTTGGGAAAACTGGCTAGCCATATGCAGAAAACTGAAACTGGATCCCTTCCTTACACTTTATACAAAAATTAACTCAAGATGGATTAAAGACTTAAACATAAGACCTAAAACCATAAAAACACTAGAAGAAAACCTAGGCAATACCATTCAGGACATAGGCAGGGGCAAAGACTTCACGACCAAAATACCAAAAGCAATGGCAACAAAAGCCAAAATAGACAAATGAGTCCTAATTAAACTAAAGAGCTTCTGCACAGCAAAGAAACTATCATCAGAGTGAGCAGGCAACCTACAGAATGGGAGAAAATTTTTGCAATCTATCCATCTGACGAAGAGCTAATATCCAGAATCTACAAAGAACTTAAACAAATTTACAAGAGAAAAACAACCCCATCAAAAAGTGGGCAAAGGATATGAACAGACACTTCTCAAAAGAAGGTATTTATGCAGCCAACATACATATGAAAAAAGGCTCATCATCACTGGTCATTAGAGAAATGCAAACCAAAACCACAATGAGATAACATCTTATGCCAGTTAGAATGGTGATCATTAAAAAGTCAGGAAACAACAGCTGCTGGAGAGGATGTGGAGAAATAGGAAAGCTTTTACACTGTTGGTGGAAGTGTAAATTAGTTCAACCATTGTGGAAGACAGTGTGGCGATTCCTGAAGCATCTAGAACTAGAAACACCATGTGACCCAGCAATCTCATTACTGGCTATATACCCAAATTATTATAAATCATTCTACTATAAAGACACATGCACGTGTATGTTTCTTGTGGCACTGTTCACAATATAAAAGACTTGGAACCAATCTAAATGCCCATCAATGATAGACTGGATAAAGGAAATGTGTCACATATATACCATGGAATGCTATGCAGCCATAAAAAAGGATGAGTTCATGTCCTTTGCAGGGACATGGATGAAGCTGGAAACCATCATTCTCAGCAAACTAACACAAGAACAGAAAACCAAACGCCACATGTTCTCACTCATAAATGGGAGTTGAACAATGAGAACTCATGGACACAGGGAGAGGAACATCACACACAGGCGCCTATAGGGGTGGGGACTGGGGGAGGGATAGCATTAGAAGAAATAACTAATGTAGACAAATAACTAATGTAGACAATGGGTTGATGGGTGCAGCACACCACCATGGCATGTGTATACCTATGTAACAAATCTTCACATTCTGCCTATGGCCCCCAGAACTTAAAGTATAATAATAATAATAATAAAAGAAATAGCATAGGATTATGCAAAAAAAAGAACTAAAAAATTAACCTTATACACCTTCTGGATCACATGTTTGATAAATAACTCTGATGCTTTTCATGTGTTTGTGTTTCTCCATGGATATGTTTTTCAACTTTTCCATCACATTGATTTCCAAAAACAGGCATAGGTTCTACTAATGGAATCAAATTAGAAAATCAAAGGTGAATAGTGAGATAAGCTTTATATGAATCGTCCCTTGATCTCTGTTTTCTTATTATTGTTTTGAAAGCCATCAAGTGGTAAATGTTTTGAAAAATCTGCATTTGATATTAGTGGCAATTTTATATAGAGAGTCCATTTTCTATTACCAAACCTGTAATGTGTGCTTTTCAGAAGGTCTGGTATTACTCAACCTAGATGACAGAATTTTGAATGCAATATGAACAGAGAATGTAAAAGGTAACATTTTCCTTCTGATCATCTAGGACTGAAAATGGTACTATGATTTGTATGCAAAATCAAAAATATCTATAATTGAAACCTGTTATTACTCTCCATCACCTGAACATATTTCCAGTTTTAAAGCTGGAAAATTACTGGTTTGATAGATATTGAGAAGAGAAATAATCTTAGAAATTACATTTTGTAATTCATTCATTCTTCAATTAGTGAAACAGAACCAGAGAAATGTAGTGTTTTTCTCATTACTACATAACTGATTCATCAAGGCAACTAGTATGAGATTCAATCCATGGGCTTTTATTATTCTCTTACCCTTTTTCCACGCTTCAATTTTTGCCCAACACAGACTGGTCATTTCTCATGGGTTATCAAGGCTTGCCTTTTGTGTATGTATCAGCAACGTAAGTTTTTTCATAAACTGGTTATAGGAAACTTTTATAACCTACTGTTGAAGAGTTTAATGGTAACTACAGCTAATAAATTTTATAGTCGCTTAAATAAGTGTAGGCTGAAAAAATATCTTCAGGATTAGATAAAGATTTACAGTGCAATGACTGAAAAATCCACGCTTGCTCCAGTCATCAATTCTGACTTCTAATGCACTAGTGTATGTCACGAGGAGTCTTGATTTATACCTTCCACACAAAGGAAGTTGGTTAATAAGAAGCCAGCTAATTCTCAAGAAAGTATATTTTCTCAAGTGTAATTTACTATCTTGCATATGCATGGAAAATAGACTGTAACATTATACTTTAACATCTATTGGTTACTACAGAGTGAGCAGAGAAAGATTAGAAACTTACTTTATAAAGCACACCCAGACACTGCTGTGCACGGTACAAAAATACTGGGAAATCATAAATGCATTGAAACCATCTGGCCTATTGTGATTGAATTTGGGGTGAAGTATTTTTTAGGAGAAAACACATATTGGAATGTAAGATTAAAAAAAGCTTCAGAGTATAAAAGGCTTCTGTGCTGAAGTTATCAACATGTAATGTAAGAGGATCTTTAGAGATCAGTAAAATACGAGTACAGTCCACAGATGGAGGTAATGTAAAAGGAAAGGAGGCTTAAAATCTTCTATCAAGTTTAGAAAAACGTTAGGACAATAATGCCCACATAAAAGTATGTTTTGATAAGATCAATGGTAGCTCAGGAGTTTATGCTTGCCTTGAAGTAGAATCAGTGTTGAATTGAGTAGAAAGGGTCAGGTGTCAATGGTGCCTATGGAAAACCTGACAACTTTGAGAAAATCGAAAAAAATTAAAGTATAAACAGTAAAGAAGTGATGAGTACTAGAGATATTTTGAAGAAAATTCAATAATACTTTCTGACCAGCTCAATAAAGTGAATGAAGAAACTTTAAATTGATAATCTTTCTTTAAAAATCCCAAATGTTTTTACTCATCATGAAGTTGGTTTTTCCTATTATGACCCTATCAACAATATTTTTCTCTTTTTTCCCCAATGAATCAGTTCGTTACAGATTTTAAGCCAATATATCTCTAACCACTTTTCTCATTAATCTAACGTGTCTCCACACCCTACACAGGCAGTTCCCAAATTTGTATCATCCACCTATCTATGTAAGGTCGAATTTTTGCTTTCTCTGTGACAATATTCAATCCCTGAACACAGCGGGACAAAAACACATACTTTTTCAGCTAAGAACCAATACTTATTTGCAGTTTCAGATGACATTCGTTCTTTCACTACCACATTCAGAGCCTTCCTAGGAGTCTACGTCAGCAAACTTTCTCATGCAGCCAATTTTGCATACTCCCTGCACACTCACTGGTAGCAGCTCTCTTTTGTTTCTTCCCATGAACATGCACACACACACACACACACACACATATGGACACGCTCCAATAAATTAAGGCCATCATCTTGGAACTCTTCTGTTTTTCTGCCTAAACCAAATTTTCTGCATCCATACTCCTGTTCTCCTCTCTTTTGTTATTAAAGTTATGTGAAACAAGTATATCTGTGGAAAGTCCTTATGGTTCTCCTTTTTCTGGGTGGCTTGGTTTTCAATCAGTAATCACCATGAGTTCTGCTTATTCTCACATTATAATTTTTCTCTGTGTCTCCTTAAATATGGATATTAGTAATACCATTACATAAAAATGTTTTTTTTTAAATATTCCTTACCTTTCATAGTTGAATACTTTCATATTGCCTTTGCATGCCACTCTTGGTATTCACTTTGGTTTTCTCCTCTCTTCTCTGTATTGAAATTATCCTACCTAAATTAGCTCACTTATGTTTATGATTTCCTCTCAACAGTTAAGTCTTGATAACACAAATTATATAAGAATGCCAAACTTCTCTCCAAGTTTTCAGAAAATTATAGTCAGTTGATAACTAGACATCCCAGTTGCCTCTAACTTAACAATCATATACGGAATTTAAATTACCTTCCTCATACCCTTAGCACAACAGCCAGAATGCTCTTGTATTCTCTGTAGCAATGACCACCACAGACGTCACTGTCAGTGACATCACTCTTTACTAAGTTACTTGAGTAGAGTGTTACATATTTGAATTTCCTTTCATTATCTCTCATATCCAATTTATGCCCATGTTTTGATGACATCACAACCTAAATATTTTGTTTCTTCATTCTGACCCTGATTCCTTCATTCATTATCTTTCTCTCTCCCCAACCTCTCTCTCTCTCTGTTTCTTACCTGTTGTCCAGCACTTGGAACTTTCCTCCAATTAATGTATTATAAATGTTTAGTACGATTTTTTTCCTTCCAAATCTAAATCTGGTCACACAGTTCTGCTGTTTACAAACCTTCAATGCTTTCCCATTTTCTTCAGAATTTTGGTAAAATCCCAGAGCAGAAATACTTCGGGTTCTTCTTTACCCACTTTCAGCTTCATCTCATGCCTGTCATACCAATGTAACTCTAAAGGTCCCGTTTGACAGTTTCCTTTAAAAATGTACAGGTTTCCAAATCAACCCACTTTGGGAAGGACTTGTCATGGAATCATTCTGTCTTGAGTTAAAATATATATATATATAATAATGATTTCCTCACATTATTGACATATTGATTAATGTATGACCTACCCACATTGAAAAGGATGATGATTTATTTCTGAGTCATGAGGTTTTACTGATTGTTTCCCACTTCGATATTTTAGCCTGTATGTTGCAATCTATAGCTGTTTGTAACTTCCGGAGTAACAACTACAGTACAAGGAGCCCCTCCTCTCTTCTAATCTCTACTGTAAACAGCTTTCCAATTTGTAACAGACTATGGGACACTCTCACCTTTGTTGATATGTCTTCTTAGGTTAATCCTCACATTTGCCTTCCAATAAACCTTTATCAAATTATTTCTGCCTCAACAGCCTTAATTCCAATTGATATTCACGAGTATTTCTTCAAAAATAGTCCAATGCTTTCTTAAGCCTCTTATTTCTTAAATATCCATCCCACTTTCCAGAGCAATTCATTCCACTATCTCTATCCTATTCTTACCTTCCCAAACAGCACTCCTTTCTCAAAAACAAACAAACAAACAAAAAACAGTTTTCCAGGTTTTAAATTAGGTCTCTCTCTTCTGGTCTCTGATTTTGTATTTTAATAATTATTTTCTGTGTTCCATACTTATCTGACCCCAGAAACCATACCTTACTTATCCCTTATTTCACAAACTTGGTATATTTATGATGTTATTGACACCCAGAATGATTTAATTGAATAAATCAATGACAAAGTGGCTATTTAGCAAGACTGAAACAACTAGGAGAAGGGTAGCTACACTGGAAAGATAGAAAAAGAGAGGGAAAAAAGTAGTTTTGAAAGCAAGAAAATGGTAACTGTTTTGGAATAACTTCAGCATACCCTCAATTGCCAACTTTAAAAGGAAAAAAATAGTAAAAAACAGATTTTACACAGTTATCAATCCTATTTTATATTTTAATGCAAATTTCCACTTGATTGGAAATGATATGAATATAAGTGATTTTTATAAAGCATAATATGATTGGTCTTTGTTCATGTGGCATATTACTACGGATATTTAAAAGATGGTTATCTAGTGAAACAAAGTTCTAAAATTATTATTTTCCTTTACTTGTTTTATATTAATCTACTGAAATTCTTATCAATCTATTTGTTGTTTGGAATTGCCTATTTCAAGTGGGCAAGATCTGCTTTCTTGTTTAGTTTAAAAAGTATTGTATCTGAAATTTTTTACACTAAACTGCCTGATAAGAGATAATTGAAAATAAAGGTAATTATAATTAAATAGTTAAATTGATTCACAAAGGGCTAAATTGACTATTGTCTGGAGTTTAACAACTCTGAGTAAGAACCTTTCCAAAATTGCAAATAACCAAAATTAGTCTTTATTAATATATTACCTTATATAGACAAGATTTTCCTGGATTATTAATTTCCTTTTGATACTATACAATACAACAGAATAGAAAACCATAGGAGATTATATTTGGAAGACATTTCAAATATATTTTTCTTCATTTCTTATATCTTTGAAGATATTTTAAGACCATTTATTTTCTGTAAGCATAAATGTATAATGTACATTAGAACTGTGTAAGGTGCAAAATAATAAAAACCATTTCTATGTTACACTTTCACTTATTCATTCTGTTAATTTTTATCAAATTCCTAATTTATATTAGATATTATTCTAGGCATGAGATATTCAGTAATAAGTAAAAAAAAGAGCAACAAAACAAAACAAAGCAAATAAAACCCCAAACCATTCATGGAGTTGTACAGTTTAATATTTGCGAAAATG
Organism: Homo sapiens; assembly: GCF_000001405.40. NCBI lineage: Eukaryota > Metazoa > Chordata > Mammalia > Primates > Hominidae > Homo > Homo sapiens. The sequence continues at coordinate 86,072,278 of NC_000005.10, read as the reverse complement.
AATTTTCTTATATAATGTTAACAGCATACCTCTGGAAAAGGAGTATTAGCTTACATGCACATAGCGATTGAAAGCTTACTGTGTAATTTTATTGTGATACTTTAAACAAGTTGTATACAGAACCCAAATTTGATTCTTGATTCTCTATCATTTGTAAGTGACCTTATTTTTAATATCTAGGTGATATAGAGCAACAAATACATTCTTATTACTTATGATAGTTTTTTAAATATTTGAAAACAACACTAGTATTATCTTCTGTTTATCTGTAACCAATGGTGTATAATCTGATTTTGGATCACTCTTTTTATCAAAGTAGTACAGTAACAAAATTAAATAGTGAGAATTTAATCAACACTGCTTTAATTTAAATGCAGAACTTACATGTATTTCTCTAACATTCTGTCATTCATCTTATTTAGTATGACAACCTGTCAAAAGTATTTTGAATCATGATTGTTTAATTTAACAAATTAGTCTTTTCCTTCTTCATTCCTATGAAACAGAAGCAAGAATAGTTGTGTTCCTTATGGTTTAAAATCTTACTCTAGATAGCAAAAGGCATGGTCCTACCGGCTCCTCCTCACTTCTTCAGCTGATAGAACCCTACTTCTCCTTAAATACCCTGTTAAAATGCCATAATTTTTGTTCCTTTTTTTGTTGTTATGTACCTCCTTACTATTTTTGGGGACATCTATAAATACACACACACACACACACACACACACACACACACACACACACACACACACACACACGCATATGCATATTATACCTTTAGTTTTATTTTTCCTTCAATGCTTTATTTCATATGTAATGTCAAAATAATATTTAAGCCACCTTTTGTCTAATTGTGACAAATTCCAAATTATTAAAAGACCGACTATAGTTTGAATGCTTTCCCACAACAGTTTTTTATATTACTTATTCCTTAACATATATTTATTCTTCTCTTCAAAAGCTGTAAGTTTTGGAAATAAATATATTTTATTCCATTACTATTGGCACAAGAGCCAAAATTAAACCATAAAGCTAATAGGTAGATTTCAAGTTATTGCCAGCTTCAACCCTTGAAATTCCCAGCAAGTAAGCATATGGCATTGATATTATCTAACTCAGTGAATAATTTTCTGAATAATAAATAGGTTATTTTGCTTCTAGCAGAGAGGAAAGCAATATCACACTAGGAGTTTGAAGATTACAGTAAATAATTTTTTCATTAAAATTTGTGTCATCCAGATTTGTGTTGTTTTAGCTACCACTCAAAGAAGGAAATGGGTCCAATGTAATACTAATTGCTGCATGCATGCTTATGCACATGTCCTTGACCCCGTCTCTGGTGCAGCTGTTTGCTTTCAGAGATTGAGTACACTTGTCTTTGCTTTGTGTTCAGTCTATGACTAGCTTGGAGATGAGATGAATGAACATAAGTGTGCAGACAGAAGATGAATTTCATCTTTTTCTATATGCTATAGATGAATTATTTTGCATGGAAGATAATTAATTTTTTCACACATGTTCAATAAAGAAGGGTAACATCCCCACATATCTATAGAGAACCTAGCTACATTCTACTTTGCCAAAGACTATAAAAATCTATATTCCCACTATGTCAGTGGCACCTTGTATTCAAAACATTATTATATTTGTGTGAATTGGTTTTCAATTAATATTGTGTCATTAAAATATCTTGAATTCAAATTTCATTTGGATTATGGTAAATAACTAGAACGATGTTTGTAAAGGGAGGTATTTAGAAGATGAGTGACATGTTAAAAAAGAAGAAAATTGGCAAAATAATATCTAAAAGTAAGAAGACATAGCAAGAAACATAAGGAAAACCGAAGATGCCCAAAATAAATAGGGCAACTCACATTAGTGGCTGGGAAGAAAGTGGTCAAGTATAGTGGGTTGTGTCATAATGGGGACACGCCATAGAAAAAAGTCAGAAACATACTGTAGTGTAAATGATTCCTTTTATGGGGAAAAAAAGCATACTGATCAAATAGGAAGAAAAGGCAAGGGACTACAATGTTCAATATTCAGGTGGCAGGCACAGTAGCAGCCCAAATCTCTGCATTATACAATATGACCATGTAACAAGCTTGCACATGTATCACCTGAATCTATTTTTTAATGCATTTTTTTTCCTGTAAATCAGAAAGGAATATTGACTTTATTATTTAGGAAAGGGAGACAATGATCACTAAGATTTGTTAGTGTACCCAAAATAAAGATACATAAATTGACAGAATATAAAATATATTACATGATTTGGCATTAATATTGTACCCTCCATATAACTGAATTTTTGAAATAAGTGGTTACAAATTAAAATTTCAGCTAATTCATTGGTTATTATATTTCTCCCTAAAATGCCTTTGAATGAATGTGACTAGTACTATAACCTCATTTATGGATTTAATAATGAGCAAATTGGTTATTGTCATTGAAATAGAATACTGAACAAAAAGTAATTATAATACAATTATCCTTTCTTCAATTTCTTCTTTTCTAAATCTACAACTTTTAAATCTCCTTACCGTGAATCCATGCTACTTCTCCCAGTCTATGCATACAAAAAGTCTGCCTATTGTGAAAAGATTTTCAAATCCCAGTAGGAGTTATTCAGCTCAATGTCAGACATGCAGAGTTAAATCCCCATCAGTGAGAAACAACAAAAAATACCACTCTCTTTGGGACACTGTAGAAATGAGTTTGACTGTATGTTCTAGTACAGCAATCACTCAGAGTAGTGGAAAATAATTACATACTATTTCCTCCAAAGAATAAGGTTACTAGCACTTTGTGGCCCCTTAGAAATTTATTTTTGTTCTCTTACATATATTATACACTGCTCTGCTATAACCTACAAAATTGAAAATGATATTTAAAGTTACCAAAAATAAATAATAATATTTTGGCCAGGCGTGGTGGCTCAAGCCTGTAATCCTAGCACTTTGGGCGGCAGAGGCGGGTGGATCACACGAGGTCAGGAGTTTGAGATCAGCCTGGCTAATGTGGCAAAATCCTGTCCTACTAAAAGTATAAAAACTGGCCGGGTGCAGTGGCGCGAACCTGTAGTCCCAGCTACTCGGGAGACTGAGGCAGGAGAATTGCTTGAACCTAGGAGGCAGAGGTTGCAGTGAGAGGAGATCGCGCTACTGCACTCCAGCCTGGGGGACAGAGCAAGACTCCATCTCCAAAAAAAAAAAAAAAAAAAAAAAGATTTCAATGACAAACCTTCTCCTTTTTACACTTTTATGCAAATTAATAGTGTTAGCAAAGTCAACTAAGTGACAATTTGCCAAATTATTAAGCACTAATCAAAAAATGGAAATAACAGGTCATCACCATAAATCTGACAAAATTCAATTTTCATCGTCAAATTAAAAACACTCAAGTGCTTATTTTTCTTCTTACTGGTTGCCTTAATTGTAGTGCTCAAGAAAACTTACACTACAACAGTAGAATGAAAATGAATATAGTATTTATCTTTATTTTACCCTGTTTTATTACTTTTGATGAAACATGATTTATTAGAATAGTTGATGAAAATGAAGTGCAGGTTTTGTATTTCAGATAAAGGCAGTGTTTTCAGGAGATGTGTGCACTTAAAGGTAAATAAAGTAAAAAACATTGAAAGTTTAAGAAAAAAAATTTTACTCCAGTATTAATGTCCTAAATTTATGATTCTTCCTTACAAATGTGCGTCAGATTTACCCTTTGTTTTCTCTTGCAATCTCATACTGAGATTAAACAACAGCCTCTTTAAAAGACCTGTATGCCTTGACACCTATCTTCTAAGTTATTTTTGCTATTTAATTCAGATTAACATATCTAAAATAATACTTTTCTATCTATTATGTTCAAAATATCTGTCTGAGGTTCTTCTTTTTCTATTCTTAGTTTAATGCTATGAAATCTCACAAAATGTTTGTACTCTTCTAAACCAAACTTATCTTTTATTATTCATCATGCTTTATTCATCTCTTTTTCCCCATACACTTACTACTGTGTCCTACTTGTTTGTTTGTTTGTTTTTTTCAGGCAATTTTCCCAGCCTGGGTAAATTGTGACTCCCTTATTCCCCCATCTTCATTTTCTATTAAGTTTTTATTATCCACCGTGATGCCTGCAGATATCTTATCTCTGAGATATTATTATCTGTGAAAGACAAATTTCAATACTACTCTATGGAATACATATTCTATGTATGCTGCTTTACCTTATTGTCCTCCTCCTTCTGTTCTTCACACAGTGCTTTCTATCTCCCTCCTTTCTTTTTCTTCTTCCTCTTTCCTTCCTTCTCTTTCTCCCTCCTTCCCTTCCTTTCTTCCTTCCTTTCTTCTTTGCTTCCATCGTTTTTTTCCTTTCTCTCAAAATGTGGTATACCACAGGAGCTCAACTGCATACTGTGCCAACAGGGGAGATTATCTCCGGGATAAGATTTATTTATGCACATTGTGCTTCTCTGAGAGAAATGTGAGTGTATGCTGTTTTACGTAGAGGTTTGCAAGACTGTGGGAATAAGACTGGAGTGTATTATCAACAGTGTAGTATCTGTGGCTTATTAAAGATGTCTGTAAACTTTTTGACACCATACTCTTCAAGAGGTGGGGATTATTTTCCTCCATGTTGTTTCAAATGAGAGGATGTCATTATTTTTCATGACTGAATAGAGCTCTTTGTGTATATGTACCACATTTTCTTTATGCATTTGTCTGTTAATGGACACTTAGATTGCTTCCAAATCTTGGCTAGTGCTGCAATAAACATGGGAGTGCAGATATCTCTTTAATATACTGATTTCCTTTCTTTTGGGCATATACCTAGCAGTTGGTTAGCTGGATCATATGGTTGTTCTATTTTTAGTTTTGTGAGGAACCTCCAAAGTGTTCCCCATGGTGATTGTACTCATTTACTTTCTTGAATTCAGTCTGGCCCATAATAGCTATGACCAAAGAATGTGATGCAAGTAACACTATGCCCATTTAGACCCTGAAGACTGGCAGTTTCCACCTGGAAGACTCAAAGTCTAAAATCACCAAGAGAATCTGACTACCCTGCATGAAAGGCTTCTTGGAGATGCCCTAAGATACATGGAAAAGGAAAAAGGCCTAGCTGATACCAGCCTTGCACTTCCCTGCCGCGATGGCAGGCAAAGAATGATTGTTTATTCTCTAGACAGTCTTAGACACGAAGCTGAATAACACACGGTGACCCCAGTCAATGCCTCACAAATCAGATAAATTGACAAACTAAGCTGTAAGTGATGCTCACAAAACCAGGTGATAAAATAAAATGTTTGTTTGTTAAGGCAACTAAATTTCAGATACTTTGTTACATAGTCATAGATAACCAGAAAATTAGATAAGACCAACAGAAAAACAATTTTGTCAGGGAGATTGACCTTAGAACTACGATGTGATTGTGATATGATGAAGAGACTGGCACAGAAGTATAATGGATGTGTTCCTGAGAAAATATGGTGGGATCTTTGAGCAAACTGATACAAAGAAATCACAGTGGTGGAGGCTGGAGCCTTAGCAATTCAGAATATCATTTTTTTAATTATTTAATTTCTAATTTCGTGGCGTTTACATAAATTAGCTAAAGAAAATTGAACATACTGGCTAGTGCTAAAAGAATCCAATATCTTTACATTAAACTTATACCTCTCTTGAATCATATGGAAATAGTACTGGCCTTTTTTTCTAAGCTCTCGGATTCTTGAAAATTTTAAGGTGATCTCAAGAAAAATAGTTATTTTTCCTTGATTATCTAACTTGTAGGTACTAGAATCAGTTTTAACTTAAAAACTAAATTAGCTAGGGCTTTATTATAGCAAGGTGATATTTCCAGTTATAGATATATTATACAAGTTTGTCTTCTATGTAAAATATATATACAAATATTTTGTAGTATTTATTGTCTATTATTTATATGAAAGTTTATTTACCTCTCCATCTATCTGATATATTCTTTTAGTCTTTCTCCTTCTAAATACATTCATAAAAGCTATTTCTTAGAGACAATCTAGACCATCAGTCTTTACTTAAACCTTGGAAGATTATTTCGCCAAATGGTACAAGGGAGTAAAAACTGGCCCAAGAAGAGTGGGTTGGTTATAATTTCAATTTTTTCTCAAAGTCTTATTTTTTTCAGTGTATGAATTATCATAGGCTTAATCTTACTGTTTTGAAAATCTAAATCCTCTTTCGCATTATGTTGAATCACATTCTTATAAAAAAGTCTCTCTTGGTCTATTTTTGTTGTTGTTGTCAAAATGTTTTTAGGATATATTTTATTTATAGGATTAATTTTATTTTCTTTGTAAGTTTTTTGGACTTTCCTCCCATAACATGAAGTCAAAATATGTCCAGTTTTAGAGGACAGAATTATTTGAATCTAGATTTTGTCCTGCCTTTAAAGAGAAACAAAATTTGTAAACCTTAGCTTGATTGATGATGTCCTGTACAAATTTCTGCCAATTACCTCTCTCTGTGTCTTTCTTCTCTTCTGTTTGCCCCTGAAATGCTATATGTTTTTTCTGCTTATAAATCTTCGTTCATGATATTATTTATCGTTGCTTAAAATGATCCATCTCTTATTTTTCACATGGTGAAGATACTTAAAATATATTTGTAAATTGAATGACTTTTCTCTTTTCCCTTTATATGAAAGGACAAATTATCCTCCTGACAAAGCGGACACTGAACAAAACACCAACATTAGTTTTGCCTCATGTCCAGAATCATAAAAAAAATTCTATCATAAGATTTTACTCTTGAGGAAAGAACTGTATAGCTATTAACTCTTATCACTTCAACAATATTCATTTATAATTCTTTTGATTCTCACATCAGAGTTTTGTATTTTTGTCTTACATAACTTAATAACCATTCATCACTATAAAACTTCTTCTCTGAACTTTGTAATCTAAAAAACAAGTATATTGTTCAAATGCTTAACTGTTCATATAATTGTATTATAATAATAGATAAAATTGAATGAGTATGCAAGTATTGTGTTAAACTTTAGTTTGATTATGTTTTATAATTTTTATATTAGTTCCATGAGGTAATGGCTATTTTTATCCTCAGTTTACAGATGATGGTTCTGAGGTTTACAGACATTAAATTTATTCATTACAACTAGAGTAAATGATTTGTCATTCTATCATGGAAAAACATTATAATGAATAACAAGCTATCATCCTTCTGTTTTTTGTTAAAGATGTCTTTAATTGCTCATGGACAAGTTTTCATATAATACCTCTGATAGAAGATTCTGTAGTAAATTTAGTTGGGAGACTCACACATATTTAATTTTAGAAATTCTGTTCTAATCTTCGTTATTGCTAACAATTCTATTCCACTGGGCATTATACCATTACATTATATTTCTGGAGCATCAAAACCTACCAAACTCTCATTAAAATTAAAAAAAAGAAAATACAGGCTACTGCACTTTTCTCTGCATTTTTTCCAAAGAATTTCTAGCTTATTTCCAACATATTGTATATAAACTAAGTAACAATGATAATTAAGAGTATTTTAATAGATTGTGATAACTTAAATTTCAAACCTTAAAAATATTAGTAATAATGTTAAAATTTTCTAAATACCCTGTTAGGCACATTACCAAGTGGTTTGCATACATTATTTCATTGAATAGATTGTGGAAATATATAAATTTGACAACTGTAATTAAAATTATTCCCACATTATAGCTAAGTAAACTGAAGATTAGAAGTGTCAAGTAAAAATTGAAAGTAATACCGCCAGAGACAAAGAGAATTACTATTAAAATCCAGGCCCAAGCTTGGATTCTACTCACTAATTATGCTTTGTATTGAGAAATGTACATTTTCTATTATGTCTTACTAATTATTGCAAATCATTGATTATTCCATGTGTGATGTTTTAACTTATTTCTTAAAAGCAACTAATCTATTAAAATAATGTTAAATCCAATTTTATTACTTTTAAGAAGTGTCTAATATGCTTAATGCTGTACTTTTTAAAAAGTGAGGCTTGAAAGGCAAAAGATCAAGTCTTATGTTGGAGAAAAGAATTAAAAAATAACATTTCAGTTATTCAAGAAATATTCATGAGACTTCTACAATGTGCTAGACACATCTAGACACATCTAAGTATTGTGAATGAACCAGAGAAAGCCATACTTTCATGGAGTTGACATGTTAACTATACAGAAACAAATCAAGTAAATAACAAATTTTAAAAACACATTAATATTTCTACAGTGACATATGTTATAAAGAAAATAAACCTGATATATGATTGAACGTGACTGAGGAAAACAGATGCATATTTTAGATGGGATGATTTAGAGAATTCCTTTCCGGAATTAAGACATTTGAGGTAAAATCTGAATTACTGTGAGTCACCTCATGCACATATTTGAAACAGTAAGTGTAATTAACCTCAATTTGAAGAAGGTTTGGATTGTTAAAAGGGCAGAGGGAAAAAAGTTTAGTGTTTTTGTCATAGAGCAATAAGGGAGATAGAAAAGAGATGAGATTAAAGAGACAAACGGGCTAGCTCACACAGAACTCTATAGATCCTGGTGAGGAATTTGAATTTTATTTGAAAAATGGCTCTAAGTGACTGAAGTGTTTTTACCTAGTGAGTAATATGATTTGTTTTCTAAGAGATTAAATGAGGAAGCAGAGAAGTCAATAGGTGGCTATTTAATAAGAGCTTTGATTAAGGTGGTAGGAGAAAAAGACAAATGATCAGGTTTAGAATTAGTTTTGAAGTAATGATGATGGGACTTTCTGACGTATCAAATCAGCTTGTAAATGGTGTGAAAATTACGATTTTGGTTTGTAAATACAATAAATCATAGTGTCACATTTTGAGTTGGGAAAAATTTGGGGAAGAACAGTTTATAGAGGTTAGAATCACTGGTTTGATTTGGTTGAGTGTGAGATGATTATTAGAAATTTTTGTGCATAAAACAAGTAGGCAATTATATATATAAAAGTAGATAATGAAGAAATGATTTAACCAAATATATATTTAAAAAACAATAAGCTTGTAGTAATAGTCAAAGACTTGGATGAGGCTGCTGGAGATAACATAGACAAAAATGTGTTAAATTATAAGCTCTTGGGTGGTGTACAATTGGAAAGTCAAGCTGAGAAGGAAGAATCAGCTAAAAGGATTAAAAAGAAGCAACCAGTGAGGTAGAAGAAATGTGAGGAAGGGGAAGAAAATGTAAGAAGACAAGGAAAAATCAGTGTTTCTAGAAGTGTGTCAATGTTTTTGAGAGATGGAATAAGAAAATTGACTTTGGCAAGGAGGAGGCTTGGTTATTTGATAAAAGCATTGTAAATCAGGTAGGTGAACATAGAAATTTCACTAAAATGAGTTCAGGGAAATTGGAAGGTTAGAGAGTAAATAAAGATATTATAGTAATTTTTGGGAGTTCTATTAAAGAAAGCAGACAAATTAGACTTTATGTAAATATGGCTGTATCTAAAAAAGAATTTGGATTGTGGAAACACTTTTTTAAAATTATTATACTTGAAGTTATAGGGTACATGCACACAACGTGCAGGTTTGTTACATAGGTATACATGTGCCATGTTGGTTTGCTGCACCCATCAATTAGTCATTTACATTAGGTATTTCTCCTAATGCTATACCTCCCCCAGCCCTCCCCCACGCCAGCAACAGGCTCTGGTGTGTGACGTTCCCTGCCTTGGGTCCATGTTTTCTCATTGTTCAACTCCCACCTATGAGTGAGAACATGTGGTATTTGGTTTTCTGTCCTTGTGATAGTTTGGTTAGAATGATGGTTTCCAACTTCATCCATGTCCCTGCAAAGGACATGAACTCATCCTTTTTTATGGCTGCATAGCATTTAATGGTGTATATGTGCCACATTTTCTTAATCCAGTCTATCATTGATGGACATTTGTGTTGGCTCCAAGTCTTTGCTATTGTGAATAGTGCCACAATAGACATACGTGTGCATGTGTCTTTATAGTAGCATGATTTATAATCCTTTGGGTATCTACCCAGTAATGGGATGGCTGGGTCAAGTGGTATTTCTAGTTCTAGATCCCTGAGGAATTGCCACACTGACTTCCACAATGGTTGAACTAATTTACACACCCACAAACAGTGTAAAAGTGTTCCTATTTCTCCACATCCTCTCCAGCATCTGTTGTTTCCTGAATTTTTTATGATCGCCATTCTAACTAGTGTGAGACGGTATCTCATTGTGATTTTGATTTGTATTTCTCCGATGACCAGTGATGATGAGCATTTTTTCATATGACTGATGGCTGCATAGATGTCTTATTTTGAGAAGTGTCTGTTCATATACTTTGCCCATTTTTTTGATGGGGTTGTTTTTTTCTTGTAAATTTGTTTTAGTTCTTTGTAGACTCTGGATATTAGCCCTTTGTCAGATGGGTATATTGCAAAGATTTTCTCCCATTCTGTAGGTTGCCTGTTCACTCTGATGATCATTTCTTTTGCTGTGCAGAATTAGATCCCATTTGTCTATTTTGGCTTTTGTTGCCATTGCTTTTGGTGTTTTAGTCATGAAGTCTTTGCCCATGCCTATGTCCTGAACGGTACTGCCTAGCTTTTATTCTACAATTTTTATGGTGTTAGGTCTTACATTTAAGTCTTTAATCTATCTCGAGTTAATTTTTGTATATGGTGTAAGGAAGGGATCCAATTTCAGTTTTCTACTTATGGCTACTTACGGCTAGCCAGTTTTCTCAGCACAATTTATTAAATAGGGAATCCTTTCCACATTTCTTGTTTTTGTCAGATTTGTCAAAGATCAGACAGTTATAGATATGTGGTGTTATTTCTAAGGCCTCTGTTCTATTCCATTGGTCTATATATCTGTTTTGGTACCAGTACCGTGCTCTTTTGGTTGCTGTAGCCTTGTAGTATAGTTTGAAGTCAGGTAGCACAATGCCTTCAGCTTTGTTCTTTTGGCTTAGGCTTGCCTTGACTTTGCAGGCTTTTTTTTGGTTCCATATGAATTTTAAGGTAGTTTTTTTCGAATTCTGTGAAGACAGTCAGTGGTAGCTTGATGGGGATAGCACTGAATCTACAAATTACTTTGGGCAGTATGGCCATTTTCATGATATTGATTCTTCCTATCCATGAGCATGGAATGTTCTTCCATTTGTCTGTGTCCTCTTTGATTTCATTGAGCAGTGGTTTGTAGTACTCCTTGAAGAGGTCCTTCCATCCCTTGTAAGTTGGATTCTTATTTTATTCTCTTTTAGTAATTGTGAATGGGAGTTCACTCATGATTTGGCTCTCTATTATTGGTGTATAGGAATGCTTGTGATTTTTGCACATTGATTTTATATCCTGAGACTTTGCTGAAGTTGCTTATCAGCTTAAGGAGGTTTTGGGCTGAGATGATGGGGTTTTCTAAATATACAATCATATAATCTGCAAACAGAGACAATTTGGCTTCCTCTTTTCCTAATTGAATATCATTTATTTCTTTCTCTTGCCTGATTGCCCTGGCCAGAACTTCCAACCCTATGTTGAATAGGAGTGGTGAGAGAGTGCATCCTTGTCTTGTGCCAGTTTTCAAAGGAAATGCTCACAGTTTTTGTCCATTTAGTGTGATACTGGCTGTGGGTTTGTCATAAATAGCTCCTGTTATTTTGAGATACATTCCATCAATACTTAGTTTATTGAGAGTTTTTAGCATGAAGGGCTGTTGAATTTTGTCAAAGGTATTTTCTGCATCTTTTGAGATAATCATGTGATTTTTGTTGTTGGTTCTGTTTACATGATGGATTATGTTTATTGATTTACATATGTTGAACAAGCCTTGCATCCCAGGGATGAAGCCAACTTGATCATGGTGGATAAGATTTTTGATGTGCTGATGGATTTGGTTTGCCAGTATTTTATTAAGGATTTTTGCTTCAATGTTCATCATGAATATTGGCTAGAGTTCCTTTTTTTGTTGTGTCTCCACCAGGGTTTGGTATCAGGATGATGCTAGCCTCATAAAATGAGTTAGGGAGGATTCCCTCTTTTTCTATTGATTGAAATAATTTCAGAAGGAATGGTACCAGCTCCTTTTTGTACCTCTGGTAGAATTCGGCTGTTAATTCGTCTGGTCCTGGACTTTTTTTGGTTGGTAGGCTATTAATTATTGCCTCAATTGAAACACTTTTTTCTAAGATAATAGAAGATTATAGAACATAGATGTGATCACTCCTTTCTGTGGTATAAGCTCTATAAAAGCAAAGACTATATTTGTCTGTTCAATGTTACTCCATTAGTAAGCTCAATTTTCTTGAAAATAATATATTATAAATAAACATTTCTTAGAATCTTGGGCAAATCAATGATTGAACTCAAAAATATTTCCTTGCTTAGAATACTTTTCTTTTATTTCAACTATTAGCAGGGTTGATTTTTTTGTTGTGTATGTGAGTACATTCTGAGCAAAAAACAAAAACAACAAACAAACAAACAAAACCCAGGGAAAAACTAAAAATTTTACTAGTTGCAAAAAAGTAAAAATTTTTGCAAAGCCTGACCTAGTCTCAGAAGTAAAAGACTTCCATCTCCATAGTAATCTACTAGTAGGACAGATCATCTTTGTGTAGTGTGGGAGGGAGCTACACAATGGTGTGAACACCAGAAAGTTGGCAGAATTGGGAGCCACCATGGTGGCTGTTTCATTACTACAGCTAAAAGTTTATTTCTATGCTAATTGTAAAAAGGATTTTTTTTTTTGCATTTTATATACTATCTTTTTTCTCATTGAGCTTGCATGATAGAAATTAGTCACTTAAAATGTATTAGTGCGGAAAAATCAAAATCTGTTGGTTGATTAGAAAAAAGAAAAAAAACTATGGTAGCTATCTGATACCCTTACAGCCAAGATATTTTTACATTTAAATTAACATCAGAAATAAAGTTATTGTATGCTATCATTTGATATGAAAACATTTACTGTGCTTACCCGAAATTGATTCTACTTGATGCTGACTATAAAATCATGCAAGAATCAACAGACACAGAAGCAACACCAAGGGACCCCATAGGAGTCATTATTGTCATCCTCCAGGGGCTTTTTTCCTCTTCTCAGAGGTGAAAGAAAGAACTAAGAGAAGTGCAGGAACCAACACAGTGGCCTCTTGACAATACTTTTCTTTCTGCCTTCATCCCCAGTATGTCAACATCCTCTCCTGTTTTTACCCAGCCCCATTCACACTTAGGGACTCTCCAAACCAAACCAAAACAAACCGAACCAAACCAAAACAAAAAACAACCTTCTCATTATCGATTTAGAATCCTTACACTGGGCGGATGTTGTTTTCTCCCATAACCTGTCCTGAGAAGTGCTGCTCCTCGAGCAGGAGTTTGTAACTTGCTCCCCTAACCTCATAAGTATGGAACGTCAGCATACAACAGATCTTATTCTTGCCACAGTAGAAGGAATCTTTTAGACATCTCTACTTGCAGCATATTTCTTACAAAAGGAAGTGTTATGAAATAATCTTTAGGTCTTTTTTTAAAATCCAAATATTTGGATTATATTTGCCGATTTCAGAACATAAAAATTTTAGCAACATTATCTTGATCAGAACCGCATTCCAATTTCTAAACATCAGACTTGCAAACTTTCCAGCACAACTCAGTCATTAATTGAGAACATTTTGCAATATAATTGGTCACCCAACTGATAATGTAAAATTAAAGATGATAACATGAATTTTAAATATTGGAGTAATATTTAGCATAATGCTTTGTGAGAGAACAACTATTGAAGTTAAAATCATTTTGGGGGTGGAAAATCATGTACATAAGATAATCAGCTTACTCAAAATCATTATTTCTATTCATATATATATGTATTTTGTAGAGAGAAAGGTTCATGGCTTTTCTCACATCTGTTCACACTGAATTAAGGTTTCAGGGTACAGGTTTTGGCATTTTCAGTTATTTTGTAACATATAAACTTCGAGTTATCCACGAAAACATAACTCCATTTATTCATGCTTAAAGTTACAAATCTTATCCTAACCTACCTCTGATATGTCTGTAAGTTTTCTTGAAACTAAAATTTTTTAAAAATTTAAAAATGATTCTATGTAATCAAATTCAAGTCTAGAGAGTTTCTTTTAATAGTAGCAATTTAAATGAATGTTGCCTCTCTCCAAACATGTTCTCCATTTTATATCTGTGTTTTTGAATTAAGATTATTATTGATTATTCTAATTTTCATATTTTAGTGCATACATTGAAAGAAAAAATCTTTCTTATTTTACATGACATAATTATGTGATAGAATGTTCCAGTTTCTTGCATCTGTCTCAAAAGACATGCAAAAGAACGGAGAGTATCATACTTCCCTTTGACTGATGGATTTTTGGCTTTCAATCTCCCTGATAAGCAACTGTGATATTCCAATGAGCTGATCAGGGAAACTTGTCATTTCAGTAATTTTCTAGAGACTGTCATGGACAGCAGACTCAAAAACAGGTTTACAATTAATGAAGCAGAAGGCTATCGTAAGGAAGAACCTGAGGAGCTACTTCAGTAGCTGTCATGGGCAAAAAATTCATATTGGATTGATTAGCCTGACTCTCATTCAGCTAGCAGAAGATTATGTAGTGAGATCGCCAGACAGTATTTGAAATGCTCATGCCTGTAAACTCCAGAGGGATACTGCTTATCTACATGTTCCACTCCTTAAAGCTAGTCTCTAAGGAAAAGAAAGTCATCTTAATGTCATATCTAGTACTTTATACAGTCCTCTATTTCATTAGAATAGGCTGATGTCACATCATTCAAAACAGTTTCTTCAAAGTCATTACATTCTGTAGGCATCTTTTTTTTTTCTCTAAGTTGGCCATTCATTCAGAGAAAATACTTAAAAGGAAGAATTAACAGTCTCTTCCAATCACTATCTCAAAGTGTTCTTGAATCAAAGTGATATTAACATAATATTGACATTGAATCTCTTTCATCAAATGCAAAGATGTATATAGTGAATATGAATTGAAAATATTCCATAATTAAAGTGTCATTGATTCCTTCATTAACAAAAACATGCTGAGTATTTCCCGAGCACTGGGGAGAATACACAGAACAAGGTAAATCTACTCATTTATTTTATTATGCTTGGAGTCTAATAAATAATATACCAAAAAGTTAACACTAAGGTATTAGTCAATTTTCACACTGCTATAATGAAATACCCAAGACTGGGTAATTTATAAAGGAAAGAGGTTTAACTGACTCACTGTTCCTCATGGCTGAGGAGGCCTCAGGAAACTTAAAATCCTGGTGGAAAGTGAAAGGGAAGCAGGCACCTTCTTCACAAGGCAGCAGGAAGAGAAGAGAATGTGTAGGAGGAAACTGTCAAACACTCATAAAACCATCAGATCTTGTGGCAACTCATTTACTATCACAAGAACAGCATGGGGGAATCTCACCCCATGATCCTATCACCTCCCTCACTCTACGTGTGGGGATTACAATTTGAGATAAAATTTGGGTAGGGACACAGAGCCAAACCATATCTAAAAACAACACACAGTTGAAAAAACAATTGTAGACTTCTGGTTTCTAGTCTGTCTTGTAGGAAGCTTGGAAGTCATCATTCCCATTTTGTGGTAAGAAAAAATCTGAACAAACTAAAAATTAACAACTCTTCTTAGGTCAACCAGAGAATTATGATGGTCAGACCAACTGGTATTCCAAAATTTGAGAGTTAAACTGGAGAAGACCGAGAATGCCAACTTTCTGGAGCAGGAGCCCAAGAGCAGAAACCATCCTGGGAAACGGTAACAGGGTAAAGTAAATGAAAACTCATTGACAAATCGTTGGAATGGGATTATAGAAGGAGAAGAGAGAAAGAAAGAGAGTGTTTGCAATACTAATGTCTGAGGATTTTCCAACATTAATGATAGACACAAAACAGCAGACAAAAGTAAGATAAAAATTTAAAAGTTTATGACTAAACATATTACACTCAAACTGCAGAAAATCAAAGAGACAATCCTAAAAGAAATGAGAAGGGAAAATATTAAATCGGGGAAAACCATATCTGTAGAGAAGCAACGATTAGAATGACATCAGATTTCTCTTTAGGAACCATATAAGCAAGAGACAGTAGAATGAAATACTTAAAGTTTTGAAAGAAAAAATATTAATCTAGATATCTCTAAACAGTGAAATTGTCTTTCAAAAATGTGGGGAAAATACAGACTTGCTCAAACAAACAAAAATTGAGAGACTTCATTGCCAGTAGACTTGTTTTGCCAGACATTTTAAAAGAAGTTATTCAGAAAGTGAGAAGATGAGATAGATATGCCTAATGAAGAGTGACAAAGAGGAAATAAATAACAGTAAAATACAATATTTTATTGTTCCTATTCTTAATTTATATAGGAAAATGTTCAAAATAATAATAGCAACAATGTACTCAGAGATTAAAACTTATGGATAAGTGAAATAAATCATAGCAATGTTATAGGAATTGGAAAAGGGGAATTGAGAATATTCTGTTATTAGGTATTGGCCCTACCCATGGCATATTATAGTGTTATTTAAAGGTTAACTTGGATTAGTAGTAAATATATATATCATATATAATATATATAGAAATATATAGTATATATAATATATATACTATATATTATATATACTATATATATACTATATATATACTATATATATAGTATATATATATATAGTATATATAATATATAGAAATATATAGAATATATATAATATATATAGAAATATATAGAATATATATAATATATAGAAATATATAGAATATATATAGAGAATATATATAGAAATATATAGAGAGAATATATATAGAAATATATATAGAGAATATATATAGAAATATATAGAGAGAATATATATATAATATAGAGAGAGAATATATAGAGAGAATATATATAGAAGGTATATATATAAAACAAGCCTAAAATCAACCCGTAAAATATTATAAAGAATTATAATTGATATCTTAAGAGAGAAGAAAATTTCAAATCATATAAAATACTCAATTAAATCCAAAGAAGGCAACAAAAGAGTAGGATATTAAATAAAACAACAACATGGGAGGGAGGCTGAGACACAAGAACTGTTTCAACCCAGGAGACAGAGGTTGCAGTGAACCAATATTGCACCACTGCACTCCAGCCTGTGTGACAAAATGAGACTGTCTCAAAAAAAAAAAAGAGATAACGACAACAAAGTGATGAAAATAATAAATTCAGTAGGTATTAATCTAAATACATGAAAAACCCCTTTAACATCAATAGTCTAAATATACCTATGGAAGATGGAGACATTCAAAGTAGATAAAACACCAAGACCCAACTACATGTTTTCCACAAGAAGCCTATTTTAATATTAAGATATGGATATATTAAAATCAGTGGGATAGAGACAGATATATCATGCTAACACTGCATGAAATTAAAAAGCTGAAATAAGGCTGGGCATGGTGACTCACGCCTGTAATCCCAGCACTTTGAGAGGCCGAGGCTGAGGCGAGTGGATCACGAGGTCAGGGGATAGAGACCATCCTGGCTAACATGGCGAAACCCCAACCCTACTAAAAATACAGAAAAATTAGCCGGGCATGGTGGTGGGCACCTGTAGTCCCAGCTACTTGGGAGGCTGAGGCAGGAGAATGGCGTGAACCCAGGAGGCGGAGCTTGCAGTGAGCCGAGATCATGCCACTGCATTCGATCCTGGGCGACAGAGCAAGACTCCGTTCCCTGCAAAAAAAAAAAAAAAAAAAAAAAAAAAAGCTGAAATAGCTATATTGATTTTAGATAAAATAGACTTCAGAGCATGAAAATTATCAACAATAAAGTGGGTCGTTACATAATGATAATGAAGTCAATTCCATAAGAAGACAAAATAATCTTTAATGAGTATGTGCCTAATGATAGTGTCAAAATATTTTGGCAAAAATATATTAAAATGCAAGAAGAAATGAACAAATGCACCAGTAAAGTTGGAGACCCCAAAATCCCCCATCAATAATTGACAGTGACAGAGCGAGACTCCGTCTCAAAAAATAATAATAATAATAATTGACAGCTACCACAGGCGGAAAAATCAGTAAATAAATAGTTGAATTGAACAAAATCACCAATCAACTGGATATTCAGTAGAATTAAACAAAACACTTCATCCAACGACAGCAAAATACACATTGTTGTCAAGCTCACATCAAACATTCATCAAGATAGATCACATTCTGTTGAACAAAATATACCTTAACAAATATAAAATAATGCATATCATATAAAGTAAGCTCATAGGTCACAAAAACTGTATATTTGAAAAGTGTAAAGACCAGTGATACTGGAGAACAATAGGTGGAAGGAAGAGGAATGAGGTGAGGCTATAGAACATAACAGAGCTAGATCAGTAGTGTCTTGCAGGCCATGTTAAAATATCAAGTACAAGCAGAAGTCATTGAAGAACTCTTACAGGGTACTGTCAAAATTTAATTTACATTTAAGAATATCACTGTGTTTAGAGACTTGAGTGGAGGAAAGAGACAGAGGAAGGCAGATAATCAGTTAGTTACTTGTATTTTAGAGATGGAATTGAGTGAGAGTTGAAAGTAGGAAACATCAAAGATTTCTGCTTGGTACTAGAATTTTTCTTAAAGCTGTTTTATTGGGTTGGTATATTGGAGGGTAAGCTAATGCTTATTTAGTATGTCATATAGTAAAGATATTTCTTAGTTGTTATATTATCATTTCAAAAATGATATTAATTTTTATTTGTATTTATGCATTAGGAAAATACATATTAGAAGTTAAGCAACTTTCCTAAGATCACTTATAAAGTGTCAGTTTGGCCTTTGACATGCATCATTGTCTTAGTTCCTTTAGTGTCATTATAATAGAATAATTGAGACTAGGTCGTTTATAAAGGAAAGAGGTTTAGCTTCTGGTGGCTGGGAAGTTCAAGGTTGGGCATCTGCATCTGTTGAGGGCTTCAGGGTGCAACAACTCAAAACAGAAAGCAGAAGGGGAGCTGTCCTCTGCAAAGATATCATATGGCAAGAAAACTAGAGGTGGGAGGGGGAGGTGCCAACCTTTTTTTTTTTTTTTTTCCCAACAATCAGCTCTTGCAGGAAATAAAAGAATAAGAAGTCACTCACCCCTTAGGGAGGCCATTAATCTATTCATGAGGGATCTGTCCCCATGACCCAAACACCTCCCACCATACCCTATCTGCCAGTGTTGCCACATTAGAGATCATATTTCAAAATGAAGTTTGCAGAGGACAAACATCCAAACCATAGCAATCACCCTGCCCCACCAGCTTTTAAAGCTTAGTGGGGTCCAGCTAGAAAGTCATATGAGTCCTTCCCACTTTCAGCAGTAGAACGTTGCCTCCTCATCATCAGCATCAAGAAATTCCTCCTAAGGACCTTGCTGACCTTCAAAGCACTTTCAACTAATTTATCAATCTCTGACTCATCTAATAAAATCTCCTGAAGAAGTAAGGACATTTACTAAAAAGGAAATGCTAATGTCGACTCAGTAACTTGTACTTTGGGACTTGAATCAGAAACTGCCCCCAAAGCAAAAAAGAATTTCTTTACAAAATGAAATAAAGAAGGAATTGTTTTACAAAACAAAATAAAAAATAAAACAGTAATAAAAGGAAAGGGGATGTTGCTCATCTAATTGACGTTAGAGAAAGGGGAAAATCTACAAAAATAAATTAGTTAAAATTACAATAAATTTTCTTTATTCTAATAGTATTTGTTATTTTAATAATGTAATTATATGATGAAATACTTTTTATTTTGTCTTTACTTTCCCGAAGTACAGCCAAATTGGTTATGACAATATTAATAGGTCTGGAGCAAGTTCACACTGGCAGACAAAATAGTTATAAGATATTTTATGTTTTCTAATATATTTCCATATGTAAACGTATCTAATGTCTGAATTTAAAATCATATAATCATATTTGGTTCTGAAAAGAAAATGGTTGTTACTATATGAAAGTAGTAAAATCTTATCTTTTGTTTTGTATATCCCTTTCTTCTTTTCTTTTCATCTCTGAAAAGTTATATGACATTTAGAGCATCATCACTGTCAATTAAAATTAATTTGAATTTCAGAATGTCATTTTACTTTTTGAAATAAATGGGGGCACTCAATTTCTGGATTACTGCTGTGAATTTTCTTGTAATTATCATACATGTCTGATTTTAATTAGAACATTCTGGCATTACAAAGTCTGATTTTGAGGAGACAGCGTAGAGTGGTGAGAAAAGCTTGATGTTTGAAATCAGATAAAACTGAGTTTGAATTCTAGCTGTAACTTTTTTGGCTAAATTCTCAGTTTGACAAAACTGCTTTGTCTCTCAGTCTCAATGTTCCTATCATCAATCTATCTTTTGCTGCCAGGATTAAAATAATTTTATATCCAAATTACTTAGAACAATTCCTGGCACATAGTAAGTTTCATGTTTTGAGTTAATGTTATTCCAGGAGGAATTAATCTTTAAAGAAAAAGAAAAAAATATTAAAAATGCCTAATTTTTCATTTATGTTTAATGTCTGCCATTTTTTCAATAAATATCTGTTTTAAAATAAATGATGAATACAAAGTCATGTGGTTTTTCAGAATTTATTCACAAAGCCAGTTTGGTAATAATAATTTTCCAGCTCTCATTTATCCTCTCTTTATGTCTGTATGTGAATCTCGTTTATGATCTTCTTCTATCTTTTATATTGTTATCTCCCATCAATCCTTATCTCTTACGTACTATTTTACTATCATTCAGACATATCAGAGCTGGGTTATTCTAAGTAAGTTAAGACAGCATTCAAGATATCACATGATTTGGTTTACAACTCATTTACTGAATTAGAAACTTCACTTTGCTTTCCAACTATTCCAACTAAATGTAACCAATTAACAACGTTTCCTCAGAAAAATGTAAGTAATAGGGAAGTAGCCTAGAATCCAGTTTGCCAATTATATTAAATCCAACGGTCACACATACAAAAAATACATATAGCTAAGGGTGCCATGCTACTATAGAAAATTTAGCAAAGGACTTGAAAATCCTGACACAAGGAAAATAAAGGAGATATTAATCACATTGTCTTATCAAAGAGATTTTTGACACTTTTTTTCCTAATTGTTCATTACTGATATTATTATTTCAAAATAGCAATGTTTGCAAATTTTCAGAACATGACAGGGAATGTTCATAGTATAAAGCTTTGTTCCTGAAAATAATCCTCAGAGTATCAACACTGAAGTATAAAATGAATCACAAACATAAATAGGTACAACATTCTAACTATGCAATCATCAAGTAACATATGTCACACTTGCCACAAGCTAGATAACATTCATTTGCATTATTAAACATGAAACACAACTTTTCTTGCTTTTAAATTTTGTTTCTCTTGCCTCTTTACAGTTTCTTTATTCCCATTCTGTATTCTTATTCTACTCTCTGCGATTTAGGCTGGTATTTCCTTTGTCATAGTGAGCCAATTCACTGGAAAGCAGAAAAAACTCTTTAACATGGTGACTTCTAAATAAGATATTATATTATAAAAATGGCCTTATTGTTTATCCCTTGAGTAACCAAAGATTTCACGTTGACTATTCCTTCAAGGATGACAGAACTCCAAGGCAAAACTATGCATTTTGTCAGACAGAAAGTCCCATCTACTTAAATATGATAAAGTATGTGGAATTTGCAGTTGATACTACCAGAATTTACAGTTAATACTACCATATTTTCCAATATACCATTTTCTAGTATATTGGAAAATTGAATCTGTAAATTATTTTTACTAGAAACAAAGCCAGATTTGTATAGAATAATTATTTAGTTTGAAAATAAAATCATCAAAATTTAAAAGCGAATAAATGTTAAAATGTTATTTATTATATAATTTTATGTAAATCTGAAAATACATGGAGCAGTTAGGTTGCTTTTAGCAAGTTGTAATGAAATACTAAATGAGGTATAGATTTCTTTATAATTCAATATAAATACCAATTTATCTTTTAATTACTACACGTTATCTCAGTTACCAGGCAAATGCAGTTCCCCTTGATAAATAACTATCAGCTTCAGTAAATATGTTATTCTTTAATTCACTTGTAACAAATAAAAGGATTTTTTCCATTTGAATTGATTAACAATGGTGAGAGTGAACCATGCCTTTGAAAACTCCATCTTTTATGTAGTGTAGCAGGTCCTTGTAAATAGTTATCATTATCTGGAAAAAAATTGCTATATTAAAAATGTGAATGAATTTAATTGTTAAAGTTGAGAACAGCTTTCATGTAAGTCAAAGATTCTATCCCTTGAAGACATCAATAAATATGCCAAAATTCATCAATGTTATACCTGACTTCAGGAAGAACATGTTGACGTAGATCTAATTTATTGCTTTACTAAGAGTGTCAGCTTTACTATAGACTGCTTGCATTTTTTAAAAAAATTATATTTATATTTATATTTTTTAATTTTTTTATTATTATTATACTTTAAGTTTTAGGGTACATGTGCACAATGTGCAGGTTAGTTACATATGTATACATGTGCCATGCTGGTGTGCTGCACCCATTAACTCGTCATTTACATTAGGTATATCTCCTAATGCTATCCCTCCCCACTCCCCCCACCCCACAACAGTCCCCAGAGTGTGATGTTCCCCTTCCTGTGTCCATGTGTTCTCATTGTTCAATTCCCACCTATGAGTGAGAACAGGCGGTGTTTGGTTTTTTGTCCTTGCGATAGTTTACTGAGAATGATGATTTCCAATTTCATCCATGTCCCTACAAAGGACATGCACTCATCATTTTTTATGGCTGCATGGTATTCCATGGTGTATATGTGCCACATTTTCTTAATCCAGTCTATCATTGTTGGACATTTGGGTTGGTTTCAAGTCTTTGCTATTGTGAATAGTGCCACAATAAACATACGTGTGCATGTGTCTTCATAGCAGCATGATTTATTGTCCTTTGGGTATATACCCAGTGATGGGATGGCTGGGTCAAATGGTATTTCTAGTTCTAGATCCCTGAGGAATCGCCACACTGACTTCCACCACGGTTGAACTAGTTTACAGTCCCACCAACAGTGTAAAAGTGTTCCTATTTCTCCACATCCTCTCCAGCACCTGTTGTTTCCTGACTTTTTAATGATTGCCATTCTAACTGGTGGGAGATGGTATCTCATTGCGGTTTTGATTTGCATTTCTCTGATGGCCAGTGATGGTGGGCATTGAATCTACAATGAACTCAAACAAATTTACAAGAAAAAAACAAACAACCCCATCAAAAAGTGGGCGAAGGACATGAACAGACACTTCTCAAAAGAAGACATTTATGCAGCCAAAAAACACATAGACCGTTTGCTTTAACAGGAATCAATTTTTTGTTTTGTTTCTTCCCTTTCAGAAGAAGTTTGTTAACTTTAAAGTTAGCGGAAGATGATTCAAGACAGTACTCCAAATAACTCCTAATTATATAACTTCACTTTATGTTATCATTTTATTATTTTAGGCTTTTTTATATAAAAGTAATACTTGATAAAAGTGACTTCTAATAATTGGTATATAAACGTGTGTTTAATTGCACTCTAAGATAATTGAGGAGAAAAGCAGTGATGCATTAATTGAGAGTTTAAGATCTGTTTTCTTCTCATGGAGATTAGACTGTATCAGTTCTCCTGGGAAGGTGATCCTGAAAGCTGAGAGTTGAGAAATAAAAAGATGTTTGCTTAGCTGTAATATTATTTAGGCCTTCTCAAACAGCATTTTTAATCATTTAATTTCCCCAAAAAACAGAGAGTATGAATCAGACTCTATATTTGCAAAGTAACATAGAAAATTGAGTTAATTATAAGTAAATTTAGAAAGAAAACAAAAGGTTTTTTCTATTCCAACTACCTAAATATTTGTTTTTAAAATGTGTATGGGATGTGTGTGTGTGTGTGTGTATGTGTTGGTCTTAAACAAACATCTTTATTTTGTTACTTAAATTTACAAAAGAAATGTCTTAACTCATATGTAACCTAAGTAATACAGTCAAATTTTTCTATTCAATCTACATATATTGTGTTGACTAAATGTGTGTATTATTACATTTGTACATGTGAATAAAATAAATCAGTTTTACAGTCTACCACCTTATCGATCATGAATACATAGAACATTTACTCACGTTATATTTGTAAATGTATTTTTAGACTTTATAAAACACATTTGACCTTTTAAAATCTTTTCTAATTTTCTTTACTTGCCTCTATAGAAACACTTAACAAGAAGACTTTTCTCTTTGAATCATATTTTTTGTTTGAAATAAGCATAGTGTTATCTTTTCTAATTTAATTTATGCACATTTTCAAGCTGTGTATCTTGAAAATTTTCATATTTATACTCTACTAACACATTTTCCAATGACAACCACATCGATATTTTAGATATTTTATGGAATAAATATTATTGAGTGTATTATTCATAGGGTTTATGCTCAACAGCACCCTATTTTGACAACAATTAATTTCCTTGAATCTAAGACCCATTTAATAAAAGAGATTACCAGAGAAGTACAGATACTTCTAATTATATTATGCTCAAAGCATTAAACTAATGAAAAACAACCACTCAGATAGCAGCTTGACTTTTGAATAAAATACATTAATCAAATTTGTGTTTCTAGAGTGAGACAGAAACTCAAACAGAGTATAGTACTTGGAGCTCTCTGATTCTAAATCTTTCTTCAATATGAGGTTCTCCTCACTGAGAGATAATGTAAAATTATGTCTTCTTCGTGAATATTTAAATCATCTTCAAAGCATATGTCTCTATTTAAATTCTATAGAATTACAAATATCTTATATATTTGTTAAGTTTTATAAGCAGTATAGATAAAGTTGTTTTATGCATAGGGAATAGTCTATAACAATTTCCTTAACAAAAATTTAAATTCTATCTAATAAACTTTATAATAAATATCTAAAATTGATTAAATAATTTGAAATGTTACCTGGTATTGAAAAAGAAAATATGATTCACAGTTCAAAGCCACATTAATTTTGTTGTGGGCAAGAAGGGGAGAGAGAAGTAGATTTGTATTTGTATTGCAAGTTATAGTGATTAAGTAGTTAATCCTGTGAATGTTGTATTTCATTCAATTCTCTAATGCAACATTCAGTAAGCACTTACTTTGTAGAAGCAATATGCTAAATGTTAACAAAAAAGATAATCAAATATAGCCATTGCATTTATTGTTTTGCCATAAAATGAAACACCTAAACAATAAATAATTAATAACAATTAATTAATATATGTACAGTTTATATAAAGTACTATAGAAACATAAAAAGAGATGTGCCTTTGTTTTGCATTGATAGGGCTAGAAAGATTTCGAGGAAAGTTACAAAGTGAAAGTTTTATTTTTGGATCATAAGGAATAAAGATAATTTGTTTTTTTTCTGGGTGGGGGACGGAGTCTCGCTCTGTCGCCCAGGCTGGAGTGCAGTGGCGCGATCTCGGCTCACTGCAAGCTCCACCTCCCGGGTACAAGCCATTCTCCTGCCTCAGCCTGCCGAGTAGCTGGGACTACAGGCGCCCGCCACCACGCCCCGCTAATTTTTTGTATTTTTAGTAGAGACGGGGTTTCACCGTGTTAGCCAGGATGGCCTCCATCTCCTGACCTTGTGATCCGCCCGCCTCGGCCACCCAAAGTGCTGGGATTACAGGCGTGAGCCACATCGCCCGGCTGGAATAAAGATAATTTTTACGATATTGAAAACAACAATGTCGCCAATGATGGCGGTAGGCTGGTGGAGATAATTCCACAAGAAAAAAATGACCATGAGATGAAATGTTGTTGTGATGTAAAAAGTTTATGAGTATGGGAATGACAGGGTGAAGTCTTTTCTGAAGAAAAATCTGTTGACATAGGAAAGAATATAAGGGAGTGGAAGGGCATGAAAACCATCAGATAATCTAAGGGCCTATTATTGCAAGACCTTCCACCTCCATAAATTCCACATCCTAAACATTTTTAAAAAGTAATCATAGTTCTATACCTACCAATATAGCTGAGGAAATTATCTAGAATTATTCTCTTTTTTTCAAAATATTATACTAATCTAAAACTAATCTAAATGTTATTATGCGCATCCTAACAGGTAACAGTGTCAACTAAGAACATTTTTTATGAAAAAGAGTGATTTCTTCACTGATTACGCCTGGACAAAAAATACCTATATAAATTATTAGTATTTTAAAATAATATAATGTGATAATACATTCGGTTACTAATGAATTTTCTACTCAAAATGTTAGAGCAGATTAAAAAAGTCTTCCTGAAGATCTTACAGTTTTATATTATAGTACTTTAAGGAATTATGGCATGGAAGATATATTTTAGAAAAATGTATAAATTACTAGAATCCAAATTTATTGGGTACGATTAAATCCAGTTGATACCCAAGGACATTTTATCTTAATGAACTTAAGTAATAACAGTTACTATCTTTTATCTAAAAGAAAAGGTTGAACAAATTTTCACCAAAATGAGTATGAAAATAATTAAGAGCCAATTTTTTAATGCTCATCTTTTGTTGTTGTTTTCTGATGGAATTATAGAAAACCATAACCATTGTGACTCTTGGATATATTGTATGCCAAGTTATGTATTATGGCATACATTAGGAAGAATTTCACAAAGCATTTTATGACAGTTGATTAGAAAATTAAAAGGAAGGCTATATGACCCATTTTCAATGGAAGAAAAAGGCCCAGGGATTTTTGATTCACCCTTTTTCCATCCACAGCAAAATTATGTACAACATAATATAAAGATACATACGTGGATATGCTATGCAATGTAAAAAAGCAAAGTGTTAGCCCGTAAGAATAGCTGATGAATGCCAGAAGTGAAGTCAATAACTGATTTATCTTATTCTACTGGAAAGACAATTACTTTAAGAAAAATATCTTTAAAATATCTGTGATTTCATTTAAGAGAATAACATTAGGCACAATTCCTGGAACTATGGTAGCCATATAAATTATTCCTATTCTTCACAATTTACAATCAATATCAATTGATAATGCATGCTGTGGTAAAAGATAATCTCTCCCTCCCTCTCTCTCTCTCTCTCAATATATATGTGTATATATATATATATGTATATATATATGACTACATATAAGAATATATATGAATATATATACACACATACCAGCATATCAGCACATCAGCTAAGATTATACATATGTATAATTGAGTTGTGTTTTGTTTTTCTAAGAGGTGTTTATCTTTCTTATCATTAAGGATTTTTTAAAAATTTTCTCTTAGGCAATGTTTTTTTCTTCTTTAAGTAATGTCATAGATGAATAACCCACTTACCAAATTCTGTCTACCATTTTAATGTAATTTATAATATTAGAGTCAAATCAATAAGAAGAACTAGATTTACGCACTTTGTTGGCAAATTTTATTTCATTTCTGCTTCTCCTTCTATGTTGAGAACAAAATTGAAGACCATAATTCTTTATAAATTCTTATTACTTTATTTCATTTTCTGGTCTGCTACTATGCTATTTATTTTTATTTATTTATTTATTTTTGGCTTTGTGCTTACTCTTAAATCTTGCTCCTATATTGGCAATTGTTAAAGGTGTTTTTTTTTCACCTTTACTTTTTCTTCAAGTCATTTTGCACTAAGGAACTTGCTACCCCTTCTTCAACTCTTCTAAGAATCTATATATTCTAAAATGATTAGTGCTCCATAGATCTCTCTAGAGTCATCTGAGGTTACATGAAACAGTTTATAAAATATGCATGATTATGAATGGAAACAACAAAAATAATCTCTCAAACTGTTAATCTTAGAGGAAAAAAATAACCCACAGAGGAGAATAGATATTTTAGTTTGGTGTTTATAAACAGTGGTCAGAAGTTCATAAAGACAATAGGGCATAGGCATCAAGAAAGAGCATTAACAGCCAGCTGTGTTTTCAGCAGAAATAGTGAAAATATGGAGGTGTACACAGCACAGTCAGCAATTCCCACACATGACCACAGGTAGGCAAGTTTGGGAAATACATGGTAGGGGTGGCCATAGTCTCAGAGGAATGATTGTACATTTGTCCTCTGAAGTTCTAGACCCACTACCAGGGAGACCTTTGATGACTATAGAGATCTGGACCTACTCTGCCCTGGGAAAAAATGAGGATAAGGGACAGCACATATGAGCCTCAGGGACTGGTGGAGTGGGCTGGCAGTCGTGGCACTTGGGACACAGGGTGATAACTACTACCTACCAGAAGAGAAATAATTTAATAGAATTATTTTTAGTGAGGGAAACAGCAAGACAACAAAAAACATTGCTGCAGGTCCACTCGTGTTGTTCTACTGTTTTTCCCCTTAATAATTATTCATTGAAATAATTTCTTAGAGACCAATATTACATCTTGTAATACAAGTCCAGTTATTGGAACCGCTGCTATTTATTTTTACAGCAAATACTTTGTCTTGATTCTCTAAAGATGACCTTCTTTGTATCCTTCAACTCATTATGAGCCAATTAGGTATTTTATGTCGTTATTCCTTCTATTTCTAGCAATTAGAAACAGAATTTATCACATAATCTAGAAACAAATCTTATTTCTTCCATTTCTAGTATTTAAAGAGAAAATTTGTCACAGAATCTATATCAGAGCTAAATTGCATGGCTCCATTTGTAAACATATCATTAAGATAGGGATTATAGAGCTAAAGGTATGTTTTAGGAAAATATCTAAATTCTGGATGATACCTAGATAGCCTAACATATTGTGCCCTTTAGGTAAGGCCCTCTTGATCATTTCTCCAAGCCCGCTCAATGACTTTGACCTGCAAAGTGTCAAGAACTTACTGTTCCAGGATGGAGCAAAGGTGGGACGAGAGAGTGAAATCTTTAGAAAACAGTTACCTCCTTATAAGCGTCAATATTTTAGAGAAGGAGAAGACTATCAAAAGAAACCTACCCTTGTGATCACAGGATTTTTATTTCATTTTTACCACAATCTCCTACTTCCTCTGAGATACAGAGGCATCCTAAGAGGAGCTGAATGTATTATCAGGAATTGGCTTGAACTGGATCTGGCATATTTGTGGTTTTCTCTATTCTGCAAAAGGTATGGACTCATGGTGCTCCCTCAGAGTACCCATCAACCATGTCTTCTCTTCTCTTCTGATTGTCAGCTCCCCCAACCCTTAATTGGAAATATCTCCACCAATAAACAAACTCCCCAGAATTTATAGGAAAAAAGATACTTGTTGATTTTAAAGAGATTTCATACGGGATTTAAAGTGCTTTCTTATAATTTATGTTAACAATGGCTGTTACTCTTCGCAAAATGACCTATAGTGTAATAACTTGAAATTATAATTACTGATTGAACAATAAAAATATTGGTTGGCACCTTGTATATAATAAATTGCTATATTGGGACGATATATTTTGTTTTGATCTTTTAAAAAGTCAAGTATAGGAAAAATATAACTACCTTGTGATGTATACTCATTCTTCTATATTATAAACTTTATTAAGTACCTATTACATGTGAGGCACGGTAATGAGTGTTGGAAATGCAAACACAATTAAGACAGGAATTTATCTTCTATTGGCAGATAAAAACTAATAATATGGTTTGATACATGTTATTGAAAATTATCTAGAAGTTAACACAGAAGGGCAAAGGCCAAAGCAAATATTGAATAGAATGGGTCACCAAGGGCATAATGTAAAAGTTGGGCCCTAGAAAATTGGGATTTCATAAACTAGAGGAATGAGAAAGAGCACATCTGGTAGTATGAACACAGTAACCACATTAAGACACAAAAGAACATGGCAGGCCTGTGTACCAATGACTCAGTTCCTATACGAGGAGCATGTTATTTTAAAAAATCAAAACTGAAAATAAAAATACAGTACTACATTAAAACTAATTCCAATTCTGGTCTTTTTAAGGACACAGTGTGGCCACATTAAACAAACAAACAAACATATATAGGCAGGAATCAGCTCCATGACAAGTGGAAAATTCTACAGAAATGACAGTGTAGGTGAAGGGAAAGGGCAAGATTTAGGAGATGTTTATAATAAAGAAATGATGGGGCCAGGCACGGTGGCTCACGCCTGTAATCCCAGCACTTTGGGAGGCCGAGGCAGGCAGATCACGAGGTCAGAAGATGGAGACTATCCTGGCTAGCACGGTGAAACCCTGTCTCTACTAAAAATACAAAAAGATTAGCCAGGCGTGGTGGTGGGTGCCTGTAGTCCCAGCTTCTCAGGAGGCTGAGGCCTCCTGAATGGCGTGAACCCGGGAGGCGGAGCTTGCAGCGAGCCGAGATGGCGCCACCACACTCCAGCGTGAGGGACAGAGTGAGACTCCGTCTCAAAAAAAAAAAAAAAAAAAAAAGAGAAATGATAGGACGTCATGTGTGAAGGGTAGTGATGAAAAGCAAGGAGTAGTTAGCTCCAAGCTGGATTGCTTTGTCTGGGTAAGTGATAATGTCACTAATTGAGTTAGGAAATACAGGACAAAAAACAAGTGCATACATTTTGAGAAGACTAAATGATAATCAGAATTTCTTGAAAATAACTATAAAGTTTTTTTTTCTGGTGAAAATCAGACAAAAGACAAAAATTAAGGAGTAGAAAATTCAAAAAAAAAATGTAAAAGGTAGTAGTGCGTGTGCTGTGATTGAGATCTTAAGAAGAGATGGGTCTTGATTTGGTATCCACCAGAAACCAGATGCAGAATCAAAAGCATTGGGGCAACAATCTTTCTGGGAAGTGACCCCAGGAAGTACTGGTGAGATGCCAGGGATATTGAGGCAAGGAGGGAGGAAAGGCCTATAAATTGTACATTATTGAACTCACTGCTAACAAGGGGGTTTTGATCAGCAGAGAACTGCCTTGAAAAATTGTGCACCCTTCAGAGGAAAGGCTGAGCATTTCTTTACAGACAATCATCTTCCCATTGGATGAGGGTTGACTCTCAGTGAATTAATCTCTACTTCATTACTTCTTGACTGAGCTTCAAGAAGAACCCTGAGGTACGAAAGCAGGGAGACACTTGGCAGAAGATTGAGATAGGAGTCAGAGTACATGAAATTAAACATCAGTTCCTAATAAACCTAAAATTTTCAAGGTGACCATGATAAACATTTGGAAATATCTCAAAATTGATTAATAGGCATATTTCAACTACAATGGATATCAATAATTTTTTGCACATTGATTTATTTGTAAACCGAATGAGGTGTTTTAGCTTATTATCATCAGTTGTTTTTTTCAAATGTATTCTACCGTCAATTCATTTTTCTCTTTTTTCTAGAGGCTCTTATATAGAATTGTCGTTTATCTTATTAATATGTATATATTTCATGTTTTCTTTATAAAATTCTTACATTTTTTATTCATTCTGTGAAGCTTCCTTGACAATATCTGCCTGATTTTTGCAACTACTATATTCACTCTGTAACTTGATTCACCTATTTACTTAATTTTTAAGTAAATAGGTTGGCAGATGAAATCCCCTGTCCTCTTTTCCTCCTAATGAGTTGGCATCTGTGTGTGTATTGAGGAAAAGCAAAGATATCCCCGAAAAGCCTAGTGTGGTATTCTGGGCTGAAAAAACTTGGGTTTCACATAATCTGGCAATTCTATCCCTCAAGGAATCTCTCTGTATGACTTTTCAGAGCAATGCTATTTATGTAAAGCTTACTCTCTAAGGTTGTAATGATTTACCTCACAGAGTGAAATAAAAAAGTGGGGGTGAGATGGGACCTGATTATTTGCACTCACCTCTTGTTTTCTGTTTCCCATCCCAGCCTGACTTTTGTTATGTCTTAGGTTATCTTGTTTTCTCTAACTGCAGATACATTGATTCCGAGCCAGGGCTCCTGGATTGTTTTGATTTTGTTTTTGTTTTGTGGTGCCCTTGGGGCTGGAAATGATCTTCCTGGGAAAATGTAAGAGAAGGAAAGGGTACAAGTTACAGTTAAAATGTCTGTCTCTGGCATCTGCCTTATTTCTACTTATGGCTGCTATTCCACCTCCCCAGACATCAGACCTACCCACTATATATCAGTTTTGTAAGATATTTCTCACAGGAATTAAGGGAAGTTCAGGGATACATCAACTTTCCTTTTCTTTCTGTTGAATCTCTTAAGCTGTTACATCTACTTAAAACATACTGAATTATGATAGATGTGAGTAGTTATGACTTTTATCCAGTCATCATTAAATTATAGAAAAATATTCCAATGCCTTTTTTCAAATACATGGCCTGTGACACTTGATTCTTGCTTTTCTCAGTCACCAGCAATTTATTTTAGGTCCTTATAAAAAGTTGAAATCAATTGAATATGGATTCTTTTTTTTAAAATTTATTTTGAGACAAGGTCTCACTCTGTTGCCCAGGCTGGGTGCAGTGGTGCAATCTTGGCTTACGATTGCAGCCTCAACTTCCTGGGCTCAAATGAACCTCCCACCTCAGCCTCCCAAGTAGCTGGAACTACAAGTGTGTGCCACGATTCCCAGTTAATTTTTGTAGAAACGGGGTTTCCTCGGACTAGTCTCAAACTCCTGGTCTCAAGTGATCTGCCTGCTTCAGCCTCCCAAAGTGCTGGGATTACAGGCATGAGTCAGCATGCCCGGCCGAACGTAGATTCTTAAAAGGTCTTGAAAGGTCATCTGTTCAGTAGCAGAACATATTCCTTTACCTGAAGAGTTCATTTGCTTTGATGACCTATCTTCAGAAACTTTCACATTGCTGATTACAAAATTTCTGTGAAAGTAAATAATTCATTGGATGAAACTTACACTACATCCTTTATTTTTAAGAGTGTGAATGTTGGATCAAATAATCTCATAGAAAATATTTATTATTATATTTTAAATATACTCTGATATCAGATATGTTTCCCTATTACTTCTATAGTAATCCCTAATCCCTATAAAATTAACAAAGATAAAAGCAGTCTACATTTATCTTCGACATGCTCAGGAGGTAAATAGACTTTTTGCTCATCACAAGTGCTTGCTGTCTTTCAAAGGTTTGAGGCTCTTCAGGGTTAAGGCAGAATGAAATCATGGAGGAAGAGTGATTACTTGAATTTTTATCCTTCTATTATATTAGATATATGACAAAAACCCTGGAAAACTTAGAGATACAAAGGAAAACGTAGAGGTAAAAAAGTCAAAGTGAAAAAACTATTTTTTTCTCTGCTTGCCTCTCATCTATAGTCAATTATGTGGATAAATAGGAAGAATTAGTAAAATTCCCTCTCCAGAGGAAGACAGCTGAATCTTAAGATTTTAATCAAGTCAGAAGCCTTCCCTTGAGTAACGAAGGGAGGCATGCAGAAGATTATGCAGCCTCTTTAATTGGCATAATAACCTACTTACTTCTACTCCTCCCATTCGATGTGGATCAGTAAAGGACCAAATGCTACATTTCCTGCATTATAACGGAGCCACTACAATTGAGGGAGTGTTTCCTTCCTCAAAATGAGCTTCCTATACTAGCCCTGAAAATGATTCTCTATTTTTTTTAAGGGTGACTTGCATTTAATGTAAGAGGCTTAAAAGACTTATAATTGGATCATTCCCAGTGGTGGAAAATTTCCTGGAAACTAGACCATGAGAATCTTTTCTTCATGTCAACTCTAGGACCTGAAACACTTCTCTCCTCCTGTTATTTTGAGATGCTTTAGGTCCACCTGATTCTTTTAGACTTATAAAAGGTTCCCAATACACCATATTTCATATTTGCAAGGAGATGTTAATAATCTATGTATTTGTGCCCCTTGATGATACCTACTTCCCTCTTTACTGCTAGATCATAATGACAAAGCTGAACCCATTCTTTGCTTAGATACCTAGAGTTGGGGAGGAAGGACCTTCCAGAGACTTTGGATTTGTCTCTCTTTGGTATGTCTAACTTCTCCATATCTTCACTGGCCCAAGGCTCATGAGCAGAAGGGGCTTGATCTGTGCAGTGCATTACTATTGCAGATTAGAGAGTGCAACTCTGAAGTGAGATGAAGGGATCATAAACATTTCAGTTTCATATATTTAGTTCAAGGAAAAAAACACTTGGAAAAACTTATATAATTGTTTTTAAATGTCAAGAGTTGTATTAAATGTTTGGAAAAATCACTTTTTTTTTTTTTTTACTTAACTCTGTGTCAAAACAACTATATCATTTCATGTGTTCTGCAGATTGCCTATCCTGAGGCTACTTGGGTTCCAGAAAGTTAATTTTATTATTATAGATCTTTTACCAATTCACTGTGACTCAAAGTGACTCCCCAGTTGCATACCTGAAGTCTTTTCTTTGCCTTTATTTTCATGTGTAAGTATGCTTTGTGCTAATGGTACCCCATGATACACAAAATAAATTATATCATACTTTGAATATAAAGAAACACCCTTATCTTAAATCTAATAAGATAACCCAAAACATGCAGCTATGTGTCCTTCCTACTGTGGCCCTGGTAGATAGACCAAGACATGCAGGTATATATCATTCCTACTTTGGCTCTTGAATTTATTTGAATATATCAGCATAGTTATTTAAAATGTTTAAATAAAGCTCATATTTTTAAAACAAAGCTATCCAATATAATTTTTTTTCAAAAATTCTCACAAATAAATATATTTTTAGCAGCAGGTTATTTTAAAATGTTTTATCTCTTAAGTCGATAGTAGTATTAGTGACATCATTTTGCATGCATAACGTTGAAACTCAACTTTTCTAGTTATAAAACTGTTACTTAGTGAATTGAAACACACAAGTATAAGGAGAATAAATTTGTGATCCAGAGCACCTGGAACACTTGAGAGCTCTTGAAGCATGCTAGTCAGCCTATTATAAACTTGTGAGGAAAAACATACTTAAGATTGCCATATACATTTCAATCCTGTTTGCCACAACACCTTTTCCTACCAAGCAATTTAAAATGAAATTATGTTAATTTTTCTTAAATTCAAATGCACTCAATTGAATAATTTTGTAGCACTTTGGTTAGTAGAATTATACAAATGTGTTTACTGAATGGAAAGTAAAAGTAATTAAACAATGAAATAGGATAGCAAAGGAAGTAGTGTTCAATCATCTTTTCTCAAGGTCTCTGTAGTGTAACAAAGAGCACCGAATTCTAGGATATTTTAAATATGCTTGAAACATGTAAAATTCCTAACAAACAATTCCTGGTTAACATAAAGAAAGAAAATTAAGCTAGATTGTTTTTTCTTGGTTTGTGTGTTTTGTGTTTTTTCTTTTTTTTTTTTTTTTACTTTAGGTTCCAGGATACATGTGCAGTGCAGAATGTGCAGGTTTGTTACATAGGTATACATGCGCCATGGTGGTTTGCTGCACCTATCGACCAGTCATTTAGGTGTTAAGCCCCACATGCATTAGGTATTTGTCTTAATGCTCTCCCTCCCTTACCCCCAATCCCCTGACAGGCTGGAGTGTGTGATATTCCCCTCCCTGTGTCCATGTGTTCTCATTGTTCAGCTCCCACTTACGAGTGAGAACACGTGATGTTTGGTTTTCTGTTCCTATGTTAGTTTGTTAAGGATGACGGCTTCCAGCTTCATCCATGTCCCTGCAAGGCACATGATCTCATTCATTTTTCCAGCTGCACAATATTCCATGGTGTATATGTGCCACATTTTCTTTATTCAGTCTATCACTGATGGGCATTTCCAAGTCTTTGCTATTGTAAATTGTTCTCCAATAAATATATGTGTGCATGTATCTTTATAGAAAAATAATTTATAATCCATTGGGTATAAACCCAGTAATGGGATTGCTGGGTAAAATGGTATTTCTGGCTCTAGATCTTGGAGGAATCACCACACTGTCTTCCACAATGGTTGAACTAATTTACACTCCTACCAACAGTGTAAATGCGTTCTTATTTCTTCACAGCCTTGTCTTCATCTATTGTTTCCAGACTTTTTAATAATCGCCATTCTGACTGGTGTGAGATAGTATCTCATTGGGGTTTTGATTTACATTTCTCTAATGATCAATGATGACGA
Source organism: Homo sapiens (assembly GCF_000001405.40). Classification (NCBI taxonomy): domain Eukaryota; kingdom Metazoa; phylum Chordata; class Mammalia; order Primates; family Hominidae; genus Homo; species Homo sapiens. Next base: position 86,036,122 of record NC_000005.10, on the reverse strand, counting down.
GATTTTTTTCATGTTTGTTGGCCACATAAATATCTTCTTTTGAGACATGCCTGTTCATAGCCTTTTCCCACTTTTTGATGGGATTGTTTGTTTTTTTCTTTTAAATTTGTTTAAGTTCTTTGTAGATTCTTGATATTGGACCTGTGTCAGATGGATAGATTGCAAAAAAGTTCTCCCATTCTGTAGGTTGCTTGTTCACTCTGATGATAGTTTCTTCTGCGGTGCAGAAGCGCTTTAGTTTAATTAGATTCCATTTGTCAGTTTTGGCTTTTGTTACCATTGCTTCTTGGTGTTTAGTCATGAAGTCTTTGCCCATACCTATGTCCTCAATGATATTGCTTAGGTTTTCTTCTAGGGTGTTTATGGTTTTAGGTTTTACATTTAAGCCTTTAATCCATCTTGAATTAATTTTTGTATAAGGTGTAAGGAAGGGGTCCAGTTTCAGTTTTCTGCATATGGCTAGCCATTTTCCCCAACATCATTTATTAAATAGGGAATCCTTTCCCCATTGCTTATTTTTGTCAGGTTCATCAAAGATCAGATAGTTGTAGATGTGTGGTGTTATTTCTGAGACCTCTATTCTGTTCCACTGGTCTATACATCTGTTTTGGTACCAGAATCATGCTGTTTTGGTTACTATAGCCTTGTAGTATAGTTTGAAGTCAGGTAACATGAAGCCTCCAGCTTTGTCCTTTTTGCTTTGATAAACTGTTTCTTTGATAAATGTCTGTTTAGGTCCTGTTACCATTTTTTTAATGAAGTTGTTTTCTTTCTATTGAGTTGTTTGACTTCCTTATATATTTTTAATATTGGTCTCTTAATCTGATGTATCATTTACAGATATTTTCTCCCAGTCTGTGACTTGTCTCTACACTCTGTTAATTGTTACATTTGCTCTGCAGAAGTTTTCTCATTTGCCTATATTTGCTTCTGTTGCCTGTGTTTTTGGAGTCCTTTCCAAAAAATCATTGCCCAGACTAATGTTTTGGAGCTCTGTCCCTGTTTTCTTCTACTAGTTTTATAGTTTCAGGGATTTTTTTTCTCTAAGTTAAAATCTTTATCCATTTTGAGTTGATTTTTTGTATATGGTGTGATGTAAGGGTCCAGTTTGATTCTTCTGCATGTAAATATTGTTTTCTCAACGCCGTTCTTTGAAAAGGCTATCCTTTCCCCAGTGTGTTCTTGGTGCCTTTGTTGACAATCAGTTGATCATGGTTCTAGGTCAGTAGTTCCTTCAACAGAGCATTGGCATTTTTGTTTGTTTGTTTTCAAACATTGTTTTAAAACTGTCAACATTTTCATTTTTTAATTATTTGACTTTCTCTGTTGAGGTTTCTTATATTTCTGTGGAGACTTCTTATTTCTACGCAAGCATTCTTACTTGTTTGCTGTGTGAATATCTTTGTTTTATTTCATCAAAGGTGATTACAATAGCTACTTTTAAATCCCATCTTTAGTTACAATAAGAGGTTCATATTGGGGGTCAGATTCAGTTGTTTCTGTTTCCCTTGATAATATGTTCCATTTTCTTAGTTCATATTTCTATTAATTTTGAATCGTATTTCAGCCATTCTAAATCTAATGTTGTAGAGATTTGGGTTTCTATTATTTTTCTCTGACAAATATTTTCTTTCCTTTAGCAGGCAAGTACAAATCTTGGGTAGGACTGTATTTCAAACTCTTTTTCTTGGGCAGTAGCTCCAATCTTGGTTCAAATCTTTTGTTTTAAGTTGAGCATCTTTGTGTCTTTTCTGCATATGTTTGTTTCATGGTTCAGTCAGAGATCAGAGTAAATAGGATGCGATTTCTTCTTTGTTTTTGTTTGTTAGTTTTTGTTTTTCCCTTCTAGGATCCTCTTCTCTTCAGTGGCCACAGTAGTGGCTGAAAATGCTTGATTGTCTCAGTCAGAGAGTGACATTTTTTTTTTCTCAGTATTTGTCTCTACTGCTGACACACATTTCACTCTTTAGTCCCAAGCTTAAAATCACCAATATCAGGAATTTACTTCATACTGCTTTTCCCCTCTCCTCCTCTGAGTATGTAGTCCCCATGAGAATCTATGCACTTTTCTTTATTTTCCAGTGATTTCAGGTAGTTTTTTGTATTACTTCCAGGCTTTCTAGTCAGGGTTTCCACAGGAAAGCAGGGTCTTAGTTACTACTGAAGTGTGGTCTACTTAGTAATTATTGAAACCATAACTCTATTTCTTTAACATAAACATATCATAATTACAAATAACTAGAGCCTGCAATATTCAATCTCAATTGTCAAGTTCCTATTCATTATTATAACATTCCATTTCTTCCCACATAAAGATTATCTTCAGTAAATATAACAAAAATACAAAATAATATATTCCTAGAATATCATTTCATTCTAAAAGGTTCTATTTTATTGACTAGTGACATCTACACTGATATTCTTATAATTTGTTTTTTAATGTTAATATAGTATTATGGCAAATGCCTGAGTCTAATCCAGATTTAGTTTTATTAATCTTGTTATTAATATTATCATTATTCTAGAATTAATTTGAGATGGAGCAATACACTTACTTCTATTTTATAAAGTCTCTAAGAATTTTGCCAGTTAAGGGAAATACATGGTGGTAATGATGATTGATTGATTTCATGTATGTCCATAATGATGAATCCCTAGAAATATCAGGTAATGAGATACATATTTTATGTGCATTAACTCAGACACTACAAAACCCTATGAGTTAGCTATTATTCAGCATATAGATAAGCAAACTGGTCATAGGAAAGTTAAGTTACTTGTCAAAGGTCTCATAGCTATTAAACATCACCACAAGTATTTGAGAACAGACAGTTTGTTGCTAGGATTGTACGTACTTTTTAAAAATTAATATATTGTTTACAATATTTAGGACTATTTTCATTTAATAAATTTTTATTATGTGTGTGTGTCTCCTTTACTCCACATTCTATTAATTAACAGCCATGGCAACATTTAAAAAAACACTAGTATTGGTATCACTCATCACATTGGTAAAAACAAAACTGTCCTCCATGTCTGAGATTATGACATCTTAATTTTTTGTCAACAAAATTTCAAATAGTATTATTGATTTATAATTTTGGAATGTGACACAGAGTCTGATAACTTTGTCTGATTTAATTGCTGCCTTGAAGAGAAATAACATGGATTTATTATGACTGGCAATGACCAATGAAATATTAATATGTCTGTTGTTTTTTTCCTCTTGAATGAGAGATTTTTGTAACCTGTAGGAGGGAAAATGAAAAAGGATAGACCATAAGAATATAACAGATGACATGTCTGTTTTGAAGTACAGTTTGCACAGCAGTAAAATGGAAAAAAGAAAGAAGAAAGAAAGAAAGAAAGAAAGAGAAAGAAAGAAAGAAAGAAAGAAAGAAAGAAAGAAAGAAAGAAAGAAAGAAAGTAAAAGAAAGAGAAAGAAAGCAAGCCACATCAGTACCTTTCTCTACCTAGGCATTACTAGAAGGTGCTGCATAGCCTCTGGTTAGACAGTTTTTGTCTGGGTTTTCAGTGCTCCTCACTGTGACAAAGAGGGAAAGAATTCAAAGGCTTCGTACATCTTAACTTCACATGATTAGATAGAGAACCCTCAAAGATTTGGACAATGAATAACTTGCTTCCAGCAATAGACAGAAAGGCAAGAATAAAGACATTAATTTGAACTAGAAATGGAGGTTGGAACTAACAATTCTCTCATGAGTAAAGGCATAATATATACATGATGAACTTTAAAAGAAACTAGACTTTTTAACAATGTGCTCCTAGCAACGCTCAACAGAAGATTATACTGATGTTAATTTTCTCTTCCCACTAAGTGAGCTCTCTGGGAACATATATTGCTGGGTAAATCTATGCAGAGATCCCAGGAAATAGGAGCCAGTTTTTTCTTACCAATTCCCACTTTTCAGCCTAGGCTTTCAGGTCAAGTCTGTTCCATTAAGTTATATAGTCCAGAGATGCCCCTATTCATAAACTTAGGAAAGAGGCAGTCTCTCAAAGATGCCTTATTCCGGGGCTGGCTGTGGCTCTCGCCTGTAATCCCAGCACTTTGGGAGGCCGAGGCAGGTGGATCACCTGAGGTCAGGAGTTGAAGACCAGCCTGGCCAACCTGGTGAAACCCTGTTTCTACTAAAAATACAAAAATTAGCTGGGTGTGGTGGCGGGTGCCTGTAATCCCAGCTACTCTGGAGACTGAGGCAGGAGAATCACTTGAACCCGGGAAGCATAGGTTGCAGTGAGCCGAGATCACGCCATTGCACTCCATCCTGGGTAACAGAGAGAGACTCCGTCTCAAAAAAAAAAAAAAAAAAAAAGAAAGAAAGAAGAAAGAAAGAAAGGAAAGAAAGAAAGAAAGAAAGAAAGAAAGAAAGAAAGAAAGAAAAGAAAGAAAGAAGAAAGAAAGAGGAAAGAAAGAGAAAGAGAAAGAAAGAAAGAAAGAGAAAGATAGAGAAAGAAAGAAGAAAAAGAGAAAGGAGAGAAAGAGAGAGAGAGAAAGAAGAAAGAAAAAGAAAGAAAGAAAGAAAAAGAAAGAAGCCTTATTCTATTCTCCCTTTCTTTATCATCCTCACCCTCACAAACCCAACACGTACCTGTAGGTCCCAGGCTATAGTTTGGCATATGGCCAGATGCCTCTCTAAACTTAATTTTGAAAATATTTTTTTTGGTCTCCATTTTCAGAAGAAAATGTCTCTTTGGCAACTTTTCTACCAATAAGCATACAGAAATAAAGTTACAAGTCTATATGGATTAAAATATTTACTTTCTTTTCTTTTGTCTGATCAATACCAGGTTTATTGCTAAAGGATTAGCATTAGTCATAGATTTTGGGGGGTGAAAATAGTTATTTCATCTGTACCTATACAACACAAACAGAATATATATACACTCATTATGTTGGGCAGTTGCCAGAAGTTCTCACTTTGAAAGAGGCACTATTACGTAGGGTTCACTGAGAGGATGGGCTTTATTTTCTAGACGTTCTGAGTTCAGATTTCACGTTCACTCTGTAATGGCTGGGGGCTTCAGTAAAATACTTAATCTCCCTAAGCCAGTTTTTTCATCTGTAAAACGGAGCTAATAATAACAGTCTTACCTTGTGTAAATGGCACAGAATTATTATGGTAAGTCCCTGGCACAGTGCCAGAAAAAAATATGTGTTGGAGAAAGTGAGAGGTAGTTTTACTGATTAAACTGATTTACTTTCTACAGAAAAGAGATGTGTTCTTACTGTCTGTGGCACAGGGGCCCTTTAATAAGAGTTTTCTTGCAGTCGTTTGTGGAATATAGGATAGATCTCATCAGTAGGGGTAATGATTTGGAAAATGATTTTTGACAATGAAGGTAAAGATATCTGTATAAGATACGGTGTTTTGCTAAAAGTTCATAAGTATTCCAAGTGGCAGAAATTATTTTTATATTTGTGCCACATCTGTCCTTTGAAATACCAAACGTCCACTTTTAATCTTTTTTTTAAAAATCATTTTAGCCTTTCTTTACTAAATTTCCAGGATACAATTTTTTATTTAAAAATGAACTAATGGGCTTAAGGAGCTTAAAAATGAACAAAGAAATACAGTATGATCAAAATTTGCCTCTTCAGTAAATTTCAATATATTTCCCCTTCACTAGTTGTGCATCATATAATGAGTAAGAGACGTAAGTGATTGTTATAGCAAGATCAAGATAGACACAAGATTTCATAGGCTGAGATAGTGCTAACATCTTGAAAATAACCTAAATTTCTAAATTAACACAATCCAAATTCCCATCTTTATTAATGAATTAATATGAACCACAAAAGCCAACAGATTTTGGGAACAAGACCATTTTTTTTTCTTATCCAGCCACATCATACCTATGTTACTTCAAAAGTTGCCTATTGCTTTCCATCTGCATCTCCTGAACTGGCAGATAGTGCCACATCCAAAATGACCTGACCATACAGCTGTCTTGTGAGACCTATCCTGGGAAACTTCTTAAGCTAATACTTATGTATAGTATTTTTTTTTCTGAACACATTAAATTTTTTAATTTCCACTTATCATTTGGAGTTTTAATCACACGAATTTTCCCAGGTCACTCTGTCCTTTAGTGTAGTGGTCCACTCCTGGAAACTATGTTCTCCCTTTACAGAGCTGATTCCCATTGACATTCGCTGCTTCTATTTCCATGCTATACAATTATTGCTTGGAAAATGAAGACTCATTACATTTTGCATAAGATTTATTGTATATCTTTCATCTTGCAAATTTCTGGTCTAAACATGCAAACACAAAGAAAGTTAGTTGAACAAGTGAATGATTCTACCCTTCAATGATTTTTTATCCACACGAAAGTTTCTTATGATACTCCACATGGAAATTATTTCAGATATTTATGTAATCACATATTTTTTCTTCCCGAACATTAGGAAAACTTTACATATACTCTGGGTATATGTATACTCCTTATTTCTATAAGGAGCTACTGAGATCTTTTCCATAAAATGACATAATTTAGTGTTCCATTTTAGAAATGTCACATTGGCTGGCTATTAAAAATAGTCTCCAAGGGCCACAGCTGGGAAACCAGATAAGAGGTTATTGCAATGGTCCTGTCAAGAGATTAGAGGGGTGTGGGAAATGGTGATAATTGTAAGAAGGGCAAAAGGGTCAAATTCTGGATAGTCCTCTAAGGTGTATTTTCATGTAAGTTAGTATGAGATATGAAAAAGGGGGGCTTTTGAATTATTTGCCTAATAATTTATTTGCAATAAATTATTATTATTTGACTAATAAATGATCAGATAGAGTTGCCATTGAGAGAGAAAAAATGCAGAGAAAAACATTTGAAGGACTGAATAATCAAGAATTCAGTTTAGGGCATATATATTTGGTAACACTGATTAGGCATCAAAATGGGGAAAACTACTATTCTTCTTTATAACCAGTTTAAATCTATTTCCTTAAAAATTCTGCTGAGAGTTTCATTTCTTCAGGTTGTAAACAAAATAGAAGTCTAAAACTTTAGGTCATTAATAGGTGAACAATTATTCTACAGTTTTGAAAAGACTGAAAATTCATTGATCACCTACATAGAGTTCTGAACAGTATTAAGTGATCACAGGTGCCCAGGTCCACTCTATATTTATAAAACTTAACCTAATTAGCAACTTATTAGAAACCTAAGAAAATGGCCTTCATACAAGTTTCTAAGAAATAAATATAAAAATGTTCTTATTAAAAGTAAATATATATACATATGTGTGTACACACGTTTGTATGTGTACATGCATATGTCCCATATTAAATAATATTTCCATCTACCAAACTAATATCAAAACACTCATAGTATCAAGTTCTCAAGGGATAAGAAAAAAATTATATCACCCACTGAAAATGAATATGTCAGTATGTCATAATTTTTAAAAAACAATACATTTGAATCACTAACAATATAAAATGTTTCTGACTACATATATAATGTTTATTTATTATTTATTATGTTGAAAAATTGAAGTTAACAACATTAAATTAGAAGAAAATGTTTAAATTATTATCTACATTATGGATAATATGTGCACAATAATGACAATTTTCTTCAAAGATTTTATTGGCATAGTAAAATTTTTAGAATATAATTAAATATAAAATATAAATACAGAATAATCTCAATTTTTAAAAAAGTAGCTCATTTGGTCTACTTTTACAATTCATATATAAATGCATAGGGATTCCTTTTATAACGTGTATATAAATGGCTAAGTGGTTTGTGTGTGTGTGTGTGTGTGTGTGTAAAGACTGGGAGGTAATAACAGCAAAATCTATCATTAATTATGATTAATATTTGGGTGATAGGAAGATAATCTATTATTTCCTTGTTTACAGTTTTCTGTGATTTACAAAGAGCATATATGAATTTAATAATCAGAAAAGGTAAGTGGACTTAGTTTTTTAAATGTCTGAATAGAAGCCTCAAAATATTTTATACAAAACTGGTCTTCTGAAGGTGTTAAAGTAATGGATTCCTAAAGAAGACTAATAGAAATAGAAAAATTTGGATTTGCTTCAACCATTTCCAGATTAGTTCTTGCTAATAATTTACAGCAGTTTTAAGGCATGGAAGTATATCATCTATAATTCTCCAACATTATAGCCATCTCCCAGTCCTTAGCATATAATTAGAGCCAAAATCTGGTTCAAATGGTGAAACGGTGTGTATTTAAATGTGTTTTGGTTTAAAACAAAGGAAAAAAGAAAATCTACATATTTAATTCTAGATTCCTCGATGGCATGTTTTGCAATTCTTTCCAATTTGAAAAAGATGGCAATACCAAGAAAATATGAGTGAAATTTTTTATTTTCCAGATTACACATGAATACATATTTTAGAATATTAAATATAAATACAAACTCTAGAACACTAACATAAATATAAATGCAAAATAGTACGTGCATTACCTACTCTTTATAATGCAACAAATTTCAATGATCATTATACATTAAATAATTTTTATTCAAATTCACAGTAAAGTAGCTTCTCATGAGGAAAAATACCTCTGTAAGAAAGAAAATATTCTGTTTTCGTGCTTGAGATATACCAAGTTGTATGTGTTATATACTATGCGACTTATGTAAATTCCATAAATAAATTTTGCAAAGAGAACAAGATTTTACAAATTATATTATCAACTATATGTATACATTTATCATTAAATTTATTTTTTCAAATATCCATGCATGACTCTTCTGTGGTAGACCATTATGTTCTTTAAATGAAACTTTAATATACTTAAAATATTTACAAACTTAATATATACCAAAAATAACTAAAATTATTCTTGAGTAATTAAAACAAAAATGATGACTATATGATCCTATTACCTTGAGATGAAGAAGACTATCATCCTGTTCACTGTACAGAAATAACTGAATGGGAAGACATCAATCTAGATTAGTTACAGTAACATTTCAATTTAATACAATCTAAGAGTCTGATATACTTTCTCTCCTTTTTATGTTTTTTCTTGCAGAGTATGATCACTCTGTTCTTTCATTTTTTTAATTTTCTCTTTTGGTTATCATATTTTCCCTCCCAGATACCTCTTATTTTGAATGTTTTCACCAGAATTTATGTTTGTTTTCAACTATTATTAATTGGCTGTTTCATTATTATGATGTTTATCTTAGTTATCATATCTTTTCTTCATTAGTTTTCTCTTTACTGTCAATTATATCTGAAGCCTTCACAAAATATTTTGCCTAGTATCTTAATTCCAATAGGTAGTGTCTATTTGAAGCCAAAGAGAGAATAGTTTTAAACATGAATTTCCTATATATATTTTTACATAATCAAGAATAGTAATGACCTGATTCCAGCAGGCCTAATAGCTTTGGTAGAAGGTAAAGATAGTTTTGTAAGATCCTAGATATATTGTCTGTTTTGGGATAAAGTAACATAAAATAATAAATGTGTAGTCATTACATGTAAAGAAATGTTCTTTACAAGTGTTAAATGATAGAAAACCAAATTAGCATAAATAGTTTTGCACAGAAACTATATTTTAAAGAGTATTCTTCCTTTATTTTTGTCAATATTCAAAGGCCTATACTAACTTTAGGAAATCATTGAAATGAAGATGACAGCAACAAATCTATAATTTGGTAAATTATTAATTATAAGGGTAAACTTTGTCCACATAATGACCAATCAGTTGATTAAATTAGTCTCAACAAACAACCCATCTTTTCAGAAAAAATAAAATTGTATAAAATAGAGATCCTCTGAGTGAAGTACATATTTAGTTTATCGAAGTATTGATTCAGGTATTCAGGTTGCCTGTTTGATATATTCTAAATGGAGACTGCATTTTTTAAAAGATTTAAATAAGTTTGTTTGCCTGTTTCACTTTGGGAAGTTTGTCAAAGTCTATACATTTTTATAAATCTTAATCTTTTACATTCTTATCGATAAAAGTATTATTTCCTTCATATGACTTTTATAGCATTATTTTCAAACCGTAAAAAGGAATACCTGAGAATTTCAAATACAAAATGTTTTTTAGTGAATATATTCATCCTTAACCTAAATACAGTGCACAATATTCTCTTAGAACACTGAAATATTCCTGATCTGTAACTTATCGCTGCAAAATAAAATAATTTCTTTATTTGTGAATGGTCATGGTGGTTTGATTGCAAAGCAATAGATTTTAGAATGGCTACTGTTTTATTTGAAAAAGAGATACATTTATAAATAGTTTATTTTTAAAACATAAAACATCCATCGTATAAAAAACACAGTTTCATAAAGAAAATACAAAACTATTTTTATTGAATAATATATTATTGCTGGCTGGCTTTATTATTTTCTCAGTTTATGCACTTTAAGTGGTAAGTACCAAAGGTAGGCTCTCTTTATAATATTGAGTTAAAACATATGAAGAGAATCTACATTCTTTAATCACGACCCTGTCAAAGCTGTGTAAGTTTGAATGTTGAGAGATGGAGTCATGTATTTTCTGAATGTAAAGTACTTGCAAGGGGTGAAGAAAAGGATCCAGAATACCTAAAACAATTTTCAAAAAAGAAGTACAAAGTATACTTCAACCACCTGGTTGCAAGACTCAAAGATCATTAAGGTTGTATGATATGACAATAAAAAGCAAATAAATAAATTGAACAAAAATAGCAAATCCAGAAATAAAACCACGCATATAGAGTCAATAATTTTTTACATTCACTAAAATTCAATGAGGAACAACAACAACAACAAAGCCTGGACATCCATATGGAAAAATGAGCAACGACCTCATACAATATGAAGAAAAACAAAGCCAGTGGCATGATTAAAAACATCCAAAGCAAAGAGATATTATAAAAAATGAATGAAAGGGAATTTAAACTCTTCTATTTATTTGAGAAAATATATGGAAGAGAATGGGACAATTTGAGAAGATTAAAATGTTAAATTTTGAGACAATGTTCTTATGTATATTTCAAGTTTAGTAGAAACCCTTGTGGGTCAGATATCTTAATTTTAGAAAATCAAAAATAATTTTATTGACTTTTTAATTTTTCTATTGCTATATAATTGTACATATTTTGAGGGCATAAGTAGTATTTTGATACATGTATATAATGTGCAATGATATCTCAAATATTTATCATTTCTTTATATTGGGAACATTGTAATTCTTTTTTTAGCAATTTTGAAAAATACTATAAATTATTGTTAACTATAATTTATGCTTTCAATCTAACAATATTTTTCTACCTTTTAACCAACTTCTCTTTAACCCCTTCCTGTTTAGAATTGTGAAAATTCTTATACATGAGTAACATTTTAAAGTAATAATTTACAGCCAACACATTTTTAGAATGTATATCTATTCATTGGAAAGTGAAGGCAATATTGTACCTTAATAATTCATTGAATTTTGACAACATTTTTAATCTTATAAGAGATAGTAATTTTATTTTATTTTTAATGTTCATACTTTATTTTGGTGGCCATCTCGTTCTAAGTTCATAATGATTTTTTTAAGAATATCATTTAAAACAATAACTCTTCTCTAAAGATGCTACATCATGCTCCATGGATGGGTAACTGCTTAAACTTGTGATATATACACACACATGCAATATATATATACACACATACACAAATATTTTATATATAAATACTATATATATATTTCCACACTGTATATATACCCCATAAATATACTATATATACACACGATATTTATATATACATATTTATACATATATAATACATTCAGATAAACACAAACTATATATACTATTTGTTCCTAACATAGAGTTTGGTAGTATATATATTATTGGTTTCTATATTAAGCAATACTGGCTTCTTTTGTATAATAGAATGAAAAAATTGTCACTCATTTCTTTTTAGTGCCATGGGTAATGACCCAAAAGGGAACTGCTGAGAAGGGTAGACTTAGATGTTGTAGTCAGATTGGGGCATAATAGGAAGTAAAAACCAAACAGAAGGAAAAACTAAACTAAAGAGCTTCTGCGCAGCAAAAGAAACTATCATCAGAGTGAACATGCAACCTACAGAATGGGAGAAAAATTTTGCAATTTATTTATCTGACATAGGGCTAATATCCAGAATCTACAAGGAACTTAAACACATTTACAAGAAGAAAACAAACAACCCCATCAAAAAGTAGGTGAAGGATATGAACAGACACTTCTCAAAACAAGACATTTATGTGGCCAACGAACATATGAAAAAATGCTCATCACATTGGTCGTTAGAGAAATGCAAATCAACACCACAAGGAGATACCATTTCATGCCAGTTAGAATGGCGATCATTAAAAAGTCAGGAAACAACGGATGCTGGAGAGGATGTGGAGAAATAGAAACGCTTTTACACTGTTGGTGGGAGTGTAAATTTGTTCAACCATTGTAGAAGACAGTGTGGCAATTCCTCAAGGATCTAGAACCAGAAATACCATGTGACCCAACAATTCCATTGCTGGGTATATACCCAAAGGATTATAAATCATTCTACTATAAAGACACATGCACATGTATGTTTATTGGGGCACTATTCACAATAGCAAAGACTTAGAACCAACCCAAATGCGCATCAATGATAGACTGGATAAAGAAAATGTGGCTCATATACACCAGGGAATACTATGCAGCCATAAAAAAGGATGCATTCCGCAGGACGAGGTGGCTCAAGCCTGTAATCCCAGCACTTTGGGAGGCCAAGCGGGGCGGATCACGAGGTCAGGAGATCCAGACCACCCTGGCTAACACGGTGAAACCCCGTCTGTACTAAAAATACAAAAAATTAGGCAGGCACAGTGGCGGGCGCCTGTAGTCCCAGCTACTCGGGAGGCTAGGGCAGGAGAATGGCGCGAAGCCGGGAGGCAGAGCTTGCAATGAGCCGAGATCGTGCCACTGCACTCCAGCCTGGGCGACAGAACGAGACTCCGTCTCAAAAAATGAATAAATAAATAAATAAATAATGAGTTCATGGCTTCTGCAGGGACATGGATGAAGCTGGAAACCATCATTCTCAGCTAACTATCACAAGAACAGAAAACCAAGCACCGCATGTTCTCACTCATGCGTGGGAGTTGAACAATGAGAGCACATGGACACAGGGAGGGGAACATCACACACTAGGGCCTGTTGAGGGTTGGGGAGCTAGGAGAGGGATAGCATTAGAAGAAATACCTAATGTAGATGATGGGTTGATGGGTGCAGCAAACCACCATGGGACGTGTATGTCTATGTAACAAAACTGCATGTTCTGCACATGTACCCCAGAACTTAAAGTAATATAATAAATAAATAAGAAAAAAAGTCCCCTCCAAAAAATTTTAGTAAGCTGAGTTTAGCAGTAAATATAATTAAAATTATAAAACACTTACTAAGAGGAATCAAAGAGTGGGATGATATAATGGAACACTCAAAATTACTAAGATGTCAATTATTTCCAAATTAATCTAAAGATTAAAAAGCAATACCAGTTAAAATCCAATCAATCATTTCCTTGAAATTATCAAGCGTATACTAAAATTTATACAAAAATGCAAAGGATACAGAATAACTAAAACATTTTTCAAAAAAGTACAGAATTAGCATACATAACACTACATGGTTGCAAGGCTCAAAAATTATTAAGGCTGTATGATATAATCATAAAAAACAAATAAATAAATGGAACAAAATAGCAAATCCAGAAATAAAACCACTCATATACAGTCAATAATTTTTGCACACATTTAGTAAAATTCAAGAGGAACAAAAAAATCTGACAATATGAAAATAATAATTTATGAAGAATAAACCTAAATATCTCTACTACTTTCTAGCATGCCAAGATATTTTAGGCAGGACACAAAAAGATAAAACAAAAGAAAAATATATATAAATTGTACTTTGTCATCATTAAAAACTTGACCAATAAACACACTCAGCTAAGAACGTGAAAAAGCAAGTCTTAAAGTTTTCTGAGTTGTTGAAATGCGTTAGAGCAGCATGGCTGTACCCAGACAACCCTGGCATTGGGGTTAAAAGCTTCATTAAAAAAGTCTGTACTCGAGCTTGATTAAAAAAGAACAGAGACACCCTCTTTAGTGACCACAGAAGGTTATAAAACGTGCATTAATTCAGTAGTGTGGCTTTATAGTATAAACCTTATGCCAATAGTTTGCATTTTATCAGAACATTGCGACCTTCATTTCAACTCAAGTGATTATTAGAAAAACGGAAGAAATATCAATAGCTGAGCTTAAATTTCTCACTACCATGATGAAAACAAAATTATGTATTTCTTGAACGTTGGTGCTGGCAATATGATATTCACGCCTTCTGCAAAATATATAGTCCCCTACACACATATTTTAAACAAATTATTCCTGGTTTTTGCCATGAGCAAAAGACGCAAAACTTTCACAAACATTCACATAGACTTTCTTTGGAGTTCATTTTAACTCCATGTCAACAGCATAGAAAATATTGAGTAAGACGAATGACTTAATCCACAAGGTAGTCTGTGGATACCATGGATATTTCTCAGAGCAGAACCATCACAAATGTATTGTAATTTTATTTTAAAAGAAAACAATTTCTAACCCTTGTTTTAAGTAGAAACAAAATGTAAATAGCCCTATTAACAAAATATGGATTTTGATTTTCAGAAAGATATAAATGGCTGATAGTAATAGCTTTCCAAATAACATATTTTTTTCCACTGGGTAAATTCATCAGGCAAGTAAAAAAAGAACATACAGTTTTCTGAAATGGGAGAAAAGATAATAGGTAAACTTTGGAGAAGTCGAAAAAAGAGTTACTGATTTTTAGTTACTTCTAGACTGTCCTTGTACATTGTTAAATAAATAATTAAAATATTGATCCAAGAAATACTAGCAAGAAGCACAAATTAGCCATTAAATAATTTACCTTCCTTTGTAAACAATTAGCGATTAGCTCAGAAAATATTATCTCTGTACATAATACTGCAGAACAGTTCTCTGGGTGGCGGTGGACCCACCTAGTTTTCCCCCATTTCTTGTTCATGGTTCTCAAATAACTCTAGAATGTGCTGAGAATTCATTATTCTGAGATAGGGTAGAACTGCTTAAAACAGCTCATACCTTGTTATTGTTCCTTCAAGGAAACATGGCATGTTGAGTTAGGAAGGAACTGCCCAGGACAGCCTGAGTTTCGTTCCTCTCTCCCCTGGAAGCAGGATATTTATCAAGGCTTTGCCCACTAATTCTCATGGCCCCCAGGTGGCCCCAGGCCTTTGGGGGTCCTTTATCTATGGTGCAAGTGGGGCACATGCAATCAAGGCTTCATCTACCTAGGACAGCTTTTGGATCTATGGAGGACCAACTCACTATGGATTCTAGACTCCTTTTATTGCTGCCTAACTGTAAGCAATAAATCCACTTCTTCTAACTTGTTATATATGAGTATGTTCTGTATCACTGGACTCAGACAGATTGGTAACCAGTGCACAGTAAGCCTGCTTCACAAATCTGTGGTTTGTGAAATAAGACAAATAAATATCACAAGTAAATTTTGTTTTTTCCTACGCTCTCTACTGCTACGTAGTGACACGTAAAATGATTTATATGTAAAGTTTTATGTAAATGTTTATAAATAAAGTTTGTAAGTACAAACTTTACATTAATATTGGACTTAACAGATTTAATCATATTAGAATTACTGCAAGAGGTGAGTAAGGCAAATACATTAGAAAATACACAAATTACTCTCTTTAAAAGTTTTCCTATATAACTATCCTTTAATTGGCTTCTGTATCTTTTCATATGAATATTAATGTATATTTCTACTAGAGTAACTTAAAATATTTGGATTATTGCTTTTGTCCATATAATAAAATCTAGGGAACTAGCAATCTCATCAAGATTTGTATGCACCCATCAAGTGACTTCGAAATCTTTTTTCCTCCACCTTTCTCTCAAACCGCACATACATTTCAGAAAAAAATAAAAATACTCAACTTTGCTTCTGGTTAGGATGCATATGTGAAAAACCAACTATCCTACTATTACAATGAAAGAATACCATGTAATTCATGCAATCAGAACTTTAATAAAACCTATCAGAGAGCTAAAGAAAAAGAAATCTAAAAGACAAGTGCTTTGAGCATTTCTTAGGTGAGCAGAGCCTAGCCTATTTTTATTCGTGGTGACAGAGGTGGATGAAGAAGCTAATCTCCCATAGAAGAAACAAAGGAATAAGTAGAGAAGGACACTCTGTTAGAGAGAGTATCCTAAACAAAAGCTAGATCTTAAAGTTCACCAAATCACCCCCATGAGATTTTACTAATTGTGCATTGGTGCTGAGCAGGGAAGTTGGAAGGGCTCCTGTCTTCTTAGGATGGCTAGGTCCCAAATACTGATAGTACAAGTGTCCTTATCCCACCCTGAGATGCAGGATCTCAGTATAGAACTGACACTTTAAAAAGTTGCATTTCAGCTCTGGCTCAATTCAATTCTTAGTTTTATTAAAGAGAACAAACCCTCACTCTAGCCATCTGGGGAAAAAAAGAGCAAAGCCTTTCATGAGAAAATATACTATTCTCAACTGTTATTTTATGCAAAGTGCCTGGCATCTTACACAGATGTGTGTGTGTGTGTGCATGCGTGCATGTGTGTGACTATGAATTAGCAGGAAAGTGTGGACTATAGTCAAATAAAAAAACTGACAATAAAAGATGACACAAAAATTGTCCAGATTACCCAGAGAATGGCAGAACTTACAGGAAAAATTAAGCTACTGAATAAAAGAATATGTACAGAATTTCAGCATAAAAACAAAAGCTTTAATAAATGAACCGAATAAAAATTCTAGAACTAAAATTCTGCAATATTTGATCTTAAAAATATTAGATGGGTGTAACAACAGATAAAAAAGAAGAAAAGATAAGTGATTCATCAGTAGGTTAATATAAATTAGCTAAATTGAAGAACAGACATTTTTAGAAAAAGAATGGAGACTCTAAGTCATATGAAAAGATGTTCAAGATATCTAACATATATGGAAATGGATTTCTAGAAAAAGAGAAGAAAAAGCATTTAAAATTACAATGTCTGAATATTTTCTGAAATTAGTGAATAGTATTTACCCACAGATCCAAGACCGCGACACCCAAGAAAAGCATAACATTTCAGTAAAATCTGCTGAAATGCAAAGATAATCAGAGAAACCTTCAAAGCAGCTAGAAACAATAAATATTACAATCAGACACATAATAATAAGAATAATGTCAAATTTTCATTAGAAACATTGAAAGCTAGGAGGTGATAAAAGCATCATTAAAATATGGAAAAGAAAAAAGCATAAGAAAAAAAATTATAGGCTAGATTCCCAATACAAAGAAAAAGCACTTAAAGAAAATAAAGACATAGGCAGACAAAACCTGTATACTTGTACAAGAATTGTTGAAGTTCTTCAGGTTAAAGTAGAACAAAACCAAATTAAAGTATGAATTTACATTTCTATAAAAAAAGAAAAAGATCCTTGAAGAGAGTAAAAGTGTGGACAAAATGAATAACAATGTATTGTGTGGTTAATAATTTAAAAGTATAATATATGAGAAAATATCACAAACAGTGGAAGAAAAGTTGAATGAAAGCACAGTATTATAAAGTTATGATTTTCATTTTGAAGAAGTATAATTTAAGTAAATTTAAATTTTGATAAATTAATATTGCATATTTTAACCTCCGTAGTAATCAGACACACACACACACACAAATGCAAATATCCAAGAAAAGAATAATTTATAAAATAGAACACTACTTAGGAATAAAAAAATGAACAAACTCCTGATGCAGTCAGCAATGTGGAAGAATCTTAAAAACACAATGTTGCTGAAAAGAAGTCAGGCATAGAAAACACACTGTAGGATTGATTATATGTATATGAAGTTCCAGAATATATGGAATTTACAGTGAAATAAGTCAAAAAACGTTGGTAAGGAAAATTAGAAGTGGGCACAGAAAACTGCCTGGTTATGGAAATGTTTTATATATTTACCTCTTATTTTACATTGGTATATAAATATAAAATACATCAAGCTGTATTCTTAAATAAGGCCTCACTATTGTGCGAGCATTCATTATATTTTCCACATTTTATGCTTTATATTTTTTCAGTGTTCTTTCTGCCTAATCCCCACTTTCCTGCCATATTTATCTTTTAACCTCATAATCAAGGTCCAGATATGTATTATATATTGTTTTCTGTCATCTTTCCCATGAAGATTCATCTATAACAATTTGCCTATAACTTCTTAAATTATTGATTTTACAATAAATATGCCTATACAAATATCAGATAGTATTGAGATAACTATTTTCTAAAGTTTTGTTTTGTGTCCACAGTTAAACACTTACGTGTACTTTGCAAACAGAAACCACAATCCTACATCATGTATCGAACATTCCCTGAAGCCATACTCATTTTATGTACAATATTCTCTTATACATTGAATTTTATTTTAACCTATTCTGTTACATTCTATTACATGTTTATTTTAATAAAAACATAATCCTGGTGGCAGTGAGTTTTATGACCCACAATATGGCAAGAAATGCAATAAAAAAACATAACTCTAGAGACGTTTCTTATTCATTTCAGTTTCCCTCCCAAAATGTATCTCAAGGGCAGAGCAAGATGGCTGAATAAAAGCCTACATCATTCTTTCCTCCCAAACCCCCACAGGAACATCACATTTTAACAACAACCTGCACACAGGAAAGCACCAGTATAAGAACTAAAAATCAGATGAGCAATCACAGTACCTTGTTCTAACTTCATATCATTGAAAGAGGCATTGAGGATGGTGGGAGAAAATGTCTTGAACTGCCAATGCCACCTCTCCCACACCCCCTGGCAGCAGCTGTGCAGCATGAAGAGAGAATCTGTGCACTTGAGAGATGGAGAGTACAGTGACTGGAGGACATCATATTGAACTCAGTGCTGCCATAGCGGAGAGTAAAGCCTTATTGGGTTCAGTCAGTGCCCATACACAGAGGGAACATTTAGATCAGATCTAGTCAGACAGGATTGCCCATCCCATGTTTTGGAGCTTGAGAATCTCAGCAATCCTCGCCACAGTGAGTCAAAATGCTCTGGGGTCTGAGGTAAACTTGAAAGACAATCTAGGACACAAGAACTACAATTCCTAGGCAACTCCTATTGCTGGGCTGGAGTCAGAGCCAGAGAACTAGGGTGGCACATGATCTATGGTGACACCAGTCAGGGCATCTAATGGAGTGCTTCAGTCACTCCTCCTCCAAACCCAG
Organism: Homo sapiens; assembly: GCF_000001405.40. NCBI lineage: Eukaryota > Metazoa > Chordata > Mammalia > Primates > Hominidae > Homo > Homo sapiens. The sequence goes on along the minus strand of NC_000005.10, from coordinate 86,016,786 downwards.
GCAGTGCAGCTCAGAGCAATGAAAGTGTCTCCTCCCTTCTGCTTAAGAAGAGGAGAGCGAAGACTAAAGAGGATTTTGTCTTGCATCTTGGATACCGGATCAGACACAGTAGAGTAGGGGACTGGGCAGTGTTGTGGGGCTGCCATGACTAGTTAACAGACAACATTTCTAGACACACCTTGGGCCAAAAGAGAACCTATTGCCTTGAAGGGAAGGAGTCATCACCTACTGACTAAATAGCCCTTGGGCCCTCAGTAACCACCACTGATACCCAGGTAGTAAGTCATGGGCCTTGGGCTCTGAGATGTGCTGCCAACAGGTGTGACCCAGCATATTCCTAGCCATGGCGGCTGTGGTGAAAGACTCCTGTTTGAGAAAAGCAGAAGAAAAAGTAAAAGGGACTTTGTTTTGCATCTTACGTACCAGCAAGGCCACTGGGGTAGAGCACTAAGCAGGCTCTTTGGGTCCCCAAGTCCAGGCCCAGGCTCTTGGACAGCATTTCTAGACCTGCCTTAGGCCAGAGGGGAGCTCATTGCCCTGAAGGACAAGTCTTAGGCTTGGCAGAATTCACCACAAGCTGACTGAAGAGACTATGGGCTATAAATGAACATCAACAATGGCCTGGCAGAACCACCTCCTCCCCCAGCCCTTGGCTGGTGGTGGAGGAGGCTCCTCTTCCTGTGGAAAGGGGAGGGAAAAGCAGGAATGACTTTATATTTTGGTTTGAGTGCCAGCTTAGCTGAAGTAGAAAACAACATCAGGCAAGTTTCTAAGATTTTTGACTATAAAACCTGGCTCTCAGGCAGCATCACCGGACCTTCCTGCAGCCTGGGGGATCTTGCCACCCAGAAGAGAAGGTGACAAACTTGGCTGGCTTTACCACCTGCTGACTGTAAAGCCCTAGACCCTTGAGTGAACATAGATGGTAGCCAGGGAGTGGTTACAGCAGGCTTTGGGAAGAAACAGGGCTCTGCTGGCTTCAGGTCTGAGCCAGTGCAGTCACAGTGCTGGTGGTCACAGGAGTGCTTGCATTACCACACCTCCAACTCCAGGAAGCTCAGCACAGACAGACTTTGCTTGTTTGGGAGAAAGTCAGGGAAAAGAACAAGAATCTCTTCTTGGTAATCCAGAGAATTCTGGATCTTATTCAGGACCACAGAAGCACTAAGTACCTATACAAGTCTGCAAAAATGACAGTGGTCTTGGGCTTGGTGCCCAAGTCTCTTCAAGTGCCTGGAAAGACTTATCAAGAAGGACAGGCACACACAAGCCCAGATGGTGAAGAATAAGATAAGCACCTAACTTTTCAGTGTCCAGACACAGATGAACATCTACAAGCATCAAGATCATCCAGGCAATCATGACTTCACCAAATGAAACAGAGAAAGTCACCAGGGACCAATCCTAGAGAAATAGAGAAATATGGCCTTCAAGACAGAAAATTCAAAATAGCTGGAGGAAACTCAGAGAAATTCAAAATAACAGAGAAATTAAATAGGAATTCTGTCATACAAAGTTAGCAAAGAGATTGAAATAATTTTAAAGACTCAAGCAGATTCCAGAGTCAAAAAATGCAATTGGCATGCTGAAGAATTTATCAGAGTCAATAGCAGAAATGATCAAGCAGGAAAAATAATAAATGAGCTTGAAGGTAGGCTATATGAAAATAAATAGAGGAGATAACAGAAAAAAATAAAAAATAATGAAGCACGCCTGTCACATCTGGAAGATAGCCTCAAAAGGGCAAATCCAAGAGTTACTGGCATTAAAGAGTTATTTATCTACTACTATTTACTAAAATAACTAAAGAGTTATTTATCTACTACAAGAGTTATTTATCTACTAAAAGTAGAGGAAGAGATAAGGGTAGAAAGTTTATTCAAAGAGAAAATGTCAGAGAACTTCTCAAACCTAGATAAATGTATCAACATTCAAGTACAAGGTTATAGAACACCAAGCAGATTTATTTCAAAGAAGACTACCTTAAGGCATCTAATAATCAAACTCCAAAGGTGAAGAATAAAGAACGAATCCTAAAACAACAAGAGAAAAGAAACATATAACATAAAATGCATCTCCAATACATCAAGTCTGTTATTGATGGGCATTTAGATTGACTCCATGTCTTTTCTATTGTGAATAGTGTCACATGTGTGAATAGACATTTCTTCAAAGAAGACACACAATTGGAAAACAGGCACATGAAAAAGTGCTCAATATCATTGATCATATGAGGAGGCAAATCAAAACTACAATGAGATATCATCTTACCCCAGTTAAAATGACTTATATCCAAAAGTCAGGCAATAACAAAGGCTGCAGAGGATGTGGAGGAAAGGGGCCCTTGTACACTGTTGGTGGGAATGTTAATTAGTACAACCACAATGGAAAACAGTTTGAAGATTCCTCAGAAAACTAAAAATAGACTTACAAGATAATTTAGCAATCCCACTGCTGGGTATATACCCAAAAGAAAGGAAATCAGTATATTGAAGAGATGTTGACTCCCATGTTAGCTTCAGCACTGTTCACAATAGCCAAGATTTGGAAGTAACCTAAGTGTCCATCAACAGATAAATGGATAAAGAAAATATGGCACTTACAAACAATTGAGTACTATTCTGCCATAAAAATGAATGAGATCCTGTCATTTGCAACAATATGGATGGAACCAAGGTTATTATGTTATGTAAAATAAGCCAGGCAGAGAAAGACAAATATCTCATGTTTTCACTTATTTGTGGGATGTAAAATTTATAACAATCAAACACATGGAGATAGAGAGTAAAAGAATGGTTATTTAAGGCTTGAAAGGGCAGTGGGGGCTAGGGGGTAAGTGGGGACAGTTAATAGGTACCCAAAAGAATAGAAAGAATGAACGATACATAGTATTTGACAGCACAACAAGGGCAACTATAGTCAAAATAATTTACATGTACATTATAAAATTACTAGGAGTATAATTGGATTGTTTGTAATACAAAGGAGAAATGCTTGATGGAGTGCACACTTCACTTTTGAGATGTAATTATTACACATGCATTCCTGTATCAAAATAGCTCATGTATCCCATAGATATATACAGCTATTATGTACGCACAAAACTTCAAAAAATTAAGAAGTATCTCATTCATTTGAGTAAAAGAATTAATCAAGAAATGAATAAAAGAAAAGATTCATCATCTCTAAATTTTAAATATAAGTAGATTTATAATCAAGAATAAAAATTAGATTAATTCATATCACTATTTCTGCATTCTAATTAAACAACCCTAAACCATTTTACTAATGTGATAAAATGTTATTTATTCAAAGCACAAATAATAAAGCCAAATACTGTATATATACAAGACAAGTTCATGAATAGTCAGGAGCTAATTTATTATACTTTTTGTTTTATATCTATTGTGGTAAAAGCACAACATCAGAGCCACTCTCTTAACGGATTACTTAGCATACAATACAATATTGTTATCTACAGGCACAATATTGTACAGCAGATCTCTAGAACTTACTCATCATGAATACCTGAAACTTTATATCTGTTAATTAGTAACTCTCCATTTGCCCTTCCCCCAGACTTCTGACAACTCCCATTTTACTTTTTGCTTAGGTGAGTTTGGTTATATTTGTTACTTCATGTAAATGCAATGGTGTAGTATTTGTCCTTGCATGATTGGCTTATTTCATTTAGTATAATGTTTTCCGGCTTTATCCATATTGGCTCATAATGTAGGATTTTCTTTTTTTTTTTAAGTTGAATGATATTCCATTGTATGTATATACCACATTTTGTTTTGTCCATTCCTCTTTTGATGCACATTTAGCTTGTTTCCACAACAACCAAAATTACTATTACAGAGAGTACTGCTGCAATGTACATGGAAATGCTAATATATTTTTGAGATCCTGATTTCAATTCTTCTGAATAAATACTGAGAAGTGGGATTGCTGGATCATATAGTGGTTCTATTTTTAAGCTTTAGAGGCATCTCCATGTTTTTTTCATAACAGCTACACCATTTTGAATTCCCCCCAACTGTGTACAAGGGTTCCAAAAATGTTTACTTAATTATCTGATCAATCTTTTTGCTTCCACTAAATTAATTTGGATCACTGTAATTTTTAAAAAAGCATAAAATTCAAGGAAATGAAAATTGACAAAAATGTACCAAAACAATTTGGTAGGTTTGGATGAATTGTTTTTCCAAGCCCTCATAGATTGCTTTTCCAAAGTTTTGTGTATTATTATTATTTTTATTTTTGAGACTGGATCTCTATCACCCATGCTGGGATGCAATGGTGTGATCACAGCTCACTGCAGCCTAGACTTCCCAGACCCCAGCAATCCTCCTACCTCAGCCTCTGGAGTAGCTGGGACTACATGGATGTACCACCATGCCCAAATTTTTTTTTTTATTTTTTTGTAGAGAAGGGGGTCTCCCTGTTTTGCCCAGGCTGGGCTTGAACTCCTAGGCTCAGGCAATCCTCCTTTTTTGGCCTCCCAAAGTGCTGGGATTAAGGCTTCACTAGACCCAAAAATTATTTTTAAGAGAGGATAGAACATTCAAATGGCATGCAAAAAGATGGTAGCTAGTATTATATAGTAGTACATTTGCTACTACTGGCTATAAAAATACTTGTCAGCAAATAAAATGATTTTATATTTTGACTTTTTACTATTAAGATATGTGCCATTTAATTCTATTTAGCTAAGTCATCATGATATATAAATGTACATTAGTTTCAGTGACAGACTCCGCATGGTCAATTATCCTAATTAGTTACCCTCTTCAAGAATTCTCCCAGCAAAGGTGGTCAGCTAGCATTGCTACACTTCAAAGAAAGCTATCAAATGACTTAACTATTTGTGTTCCTCTAACGCTTTATAATGTACTCTGATTAAATACCAAAGCCCTTAAGTAAATCTACAAGGTTCTTCAAAATAGCCTACCTCAACCCATCACTCTTCTCCCTTCCCTTCTGCTCTCACCAGAGAGGCTCCAACCTGAGAGGGCCTCCTGTCGCTCCTCCAAAACAGATGAAGCAGGTGTCTACCTTAGGGTCTTTCACTTACTGTTTCTTCTGTTCCCGCTGCTTTACCCCAAAATGTCTGCAAGACCCCATTCTGTCTGGGTCTTTATTCAAATGTAAACACAAGGAGGTCTTTTGGTTTCTCATTTAAACATTTTCAACTGACCTTCCTTTTTGTATTCCCTTTTCTTGCTTTTTGTTCTTAATGGCTGTTATCACCTTTGTTGCCTGTTATCACCTTTAATATACTATTTGCCTTCCTTTTCTCATTCCCTTTTCTTGCTTTTTGTTCTTAATGGCCCTAATCATCTTTAGTATAGTATTTAAGGTATTCATGCAGACTTTTAAAATTGTTAGTCTTTCCTCTTAGAGTGTAATTTCTATGAGTAAAGATTCTTTTTATTGATAGTTATATTTTCAATTTATAGAACAGAGCATGACTCAGAGTAGGTGCTTAATTAATATTTATTGCATGAGTAAATGATCCATAATATAGCTTTTGGTAAGTGCCATAATGAATGTTGGAAATAGGTATAGGGTTGCCAGATAAAATATAGGACAACCAATTACATTTGAATTTCAGCTAAGAAAGATAACGTGTTACTTTTGTGTAACTATTTTCCCAATTAATGCACAAGCCATATATATATTCTTTAAAAATTGTTTATTTGAAATTTATATTTCATTATTTGTATATCTGTTTGCTAAATCTGGCAAACCTAAATAACTATCACTGGTGAAACGAGTAGTTTTTTTAATTCGGTATCATAAATTCTTATTAATGAAATTGGTGATATTCAAGATAAATAGCATAAAATAAAGTATATTTTGTCTTTGCATGATAGAGTATGAGGATCTAGTGAAACAAGTAACCTAATTTAAAACTTTTTTTTTTTTTTTGCAGATGGCATTCTAGATTTAATCTCTAATAAACCTAATTTCAATGGTGGGACATTTAATGCAAATTTTCATCAGAAAGGAAAGGGATGGAGGAAAGTTTACCAAGCAAATGGAAAATAGAAACAAATGGGTTATAATCGTAATTTCTGACAAAACAGACTTTAAACCAACAAAGACCAAAAAAAGACAAAGAAAGACATTACATAATGGTAAAGCGTTCAATTCAGCAAGAAGAGCTAACTATCCTAAATATATATGCACCCAATACAGGAACACCCAGATTCATAATGCAGATTCTTAGGGACTTTCAAGGACACTTAGACTTCCACACAATAATAGTGGGAGACTTTAACATCCCCCTGACAATATTAGATAGATCACCAAGACAGAAAACTAACAAAGATATTCAGGACCTGAACTCAGCTCTTGATCAGGTGGACCTGATAAATATCTACAGAACTCTTCACCCCAAAACAACAGGATATACATTCTTCTCATCGCCACATGGCACTTACTCTAAAATTGATCACATAATCAGAAGTAAAACACTCCTCAGCAAATCCAAAAAAAAAAAAAATGAAACATAGCAGTCTCTCAGACCACAGCACAATCAAACTATAACTCAAGATTAAGAAATTCACTGAAAACCATACTGCTACATGGAAATTCAGCAATCTTCTCCCTGAGTTACTTTTGGGTAAATAATGAAATTGAGGAAGAAATCAAGAAGTTTATTGAAACTAATGAGAAGAAAGATACAACATAGCAGAATCTCTGGGATGCAGCTAAAGCAGCGTTAAGAGGGAAATTTATAGCACTAAATACCCACATCAAAAAGCTAGAAAGATCTAAAGTTAGTAACCTAACCTCACAGCTAAAAAACTAGAGAACGAACAGCAAACAAACCCTACAGCTAGCAGAAAATAAGAAATGACCAAGATCAGAGCTGAACTTAAGGAGACAGAGACATGACAAATCCTTCAAAATGTCAACAAATCCAGGAGCTGTATATTTTTTGAAAAAAATAATAAAATAGATCATTAGCTAGACTAATAGAGAAGAAAAGAGAGATGATTCAAATAAACACAATCAGAAATGATCAGGAGGATATTAACATTGACTCCCCAGAAATACAACCATCAGAGAATACTATAAACATCTCTATGCACATAAACTAGAAAATCTAAAAGAAATGGATACATTCCTGAACACATACACCCTCACAAGTCTGAATCAAGAAGAAACTGAATCCCTAAATAGAGAAATAATAAGCTCTGAAATACACGCAGTAATAAATAGTCTAGCAAAAAAAAAAAAGCCCAGGACAAGACAAATTTACAGCTTAGTAATACCAGAGGTACAAAGAAAAGCTGGTACCATTCCTACTGAAACTATTTCAAAATATTGAAAAGGGAGGATTCCTCCCTAGCTCATTCTACGAGGCCAGCATGATCCTGACACAAAAACATGGCAGAGATACAGCAAAAAAGAAAACTTCTGACCAATACCTTTGATAAACATTGGTGCAAAAATCCTAAACAAATGCCAGGCACTGTGGTTCATGCCTGTAATCCCAGCACTTTGGGAGGCTGAGGTGGGTGGACCACCTGAGGTCAGGAGTTTGAGACCAGCCTGGCCAACATGATGGAATCCCATCTCTACTAAAAATAAGGAAATTAACTGGGCGTGGTAGCAGGCACCTGTAGTCCCAGCTACTTGGGAAGGCGAGGCAGAAGAATCACTTGAACTCGGGAGGCGGAGGTTGCAGTGAGTTGAGATCATGCCACTGCATTCCAGCCTAGGCAACAGAGTGAGACACTATCTGAAAAAAAAAAAATTAAAGCAAACAAAACATCCTAAACAAAGTATTGGCAAACCGAAACCAGCAGCTCATCAAAAAGCTTATCCACCACAACCTAGCTGGCTTCATCTCTGGGATGCAAGGCTGATTCAACATACACAAATCAATAAATGTGATTCATTACATAAACAGAACTAAAAACAAAACCACAAAGTTATCTAAATAGCTGGAGAAAAGGCCTTTGATAAAAGTCAACATTTGTTCATGTTAAAACTCTTAATAAAGTAGGTATTGAAGGAACATACCTCAAAATAGTAAGACCCACAGCCAATATCATACTGAATGGGTGAAGCTGGAAGCATTCCCCTTGAAAATCAACAGGAGACAAGGGTGCCCTCTCTCATAGCTCCTATTCAGCACAGTATTGGAATTTCTGGCCAGGGCAATAAGGCAACAGAAAGAAATAGAGTAGTCAAATAGGAAGAGAGGAAGTCAAACTATCTTTGTGTGCAGATGACATAATCCTGTATCTAGAAAACACCATCGTCTCAGCCCAAAAGCTTCTTAAGCTGATAAGCAACTTGGCAAAGTCTCAGAACACAAAGGCAATGTGCAAAAATTGTTAGCATTCTGATACACCAACAACAGGCAAGCAAAGAGCCAAATCAAGAACGCAATCCCATTCACAATTGCCACAAAAAGAATAAAATACCTAAGGATACACCTAACAGGGGAAGTGAAGGATCTCAAGGAGAACTACAAACCACCACTCAAAGAAATTCGAGATGACACAAACAAATGGAAAAATATTCCACATTAATGGATAGGAAGAATCAATATCATAAAAATGGCCATACTGCCCAAAGCAGTTTATAGATTTAATGCTATTCCCATTAAACTACCATTGACATTCTTCACAGAATTAGCAAAGGGCTATTTTTAAGTTCATAGGAGCCAAAAAAAAAAAAAAAAAAAAAAAGCCCAAATAGCCAAGGCAATCCTAAGCCAAAGAACAAAGCTGGGGGCATCGCACTATCCAACTTCAAACTATACTGCATGGCTACAGTAACCAAAACAACACAATACTGATACAAGAACAGACACATAGGCAAATGGGACTGAATATAGAACCCAGAAATAAGACTGCACACCTACCACCATCTGATCTTTGACAAACCTGACAAAAACAAGCAATGGAGAAAGGATTCCTTATTTAATAAATGATGCTGGGAGAACTGGCTGGCCGTATGCAGAAAATGGAAACTGGACCCCTTCCTTAAACCACATACAAAAATCAACTCAAGATGGATTAAAGACTGAAATGAAACCCAAAACTATAAAAACTCTAGAAGAAAACCTAGGCAATACCATTTAGGACATAGGCATGGGCAAAGATTTCATAACGAAGCTGCCAAAAGTATTTGCAACAAAAGCAAAAATTGATAAATGGGATCTAATTAAACTAAAGAGCTTCTGTACTGCAAATGAATCTATCAACAGAGTAAACAGACAACCTACAGAATGGGAGAAAATTTTTGCAATCTACCCATCTGAAAAATGTCTAATATCCATCATCTATAAGAAATTTAAAGAAATTTGCAGAAAACAAAACCCATTAGAAAGTGGACAGAGGACATGACCAGACACTTCTCAAAAGAATACACACATGCACCCAACAAACATATGAAAAAAAATCTCAACATCATTGATCATTAGAGAAATGCAAATCAAAATCACAATGAGGTACCATCTCACACCAGTCTGAATGGCAATTATTAAAAATTCAAAAAACAACAGGTACTGGTGCGGTTGTGGTAAAAAAGGAGCACTTTTACACTGTTGGTGAGGGTGTAAATTAGTTCAACCATTGCTGGGTATATACCCAAAGGAAGATAAATCATTCTATTATAGACACATTCATGAGTATGTTCTTTGTAGCACTACTCCCAATAGCAAAGATATCAAATTAACTTAAATGCCATTCAATGATAGACTGGATAAAGAAAATGTGGTACATATACACTATGGAATACCATACAGCCATAAAAATGAATGAGATTAGGTTCTTTGCAAGGACATGGATGGAGTTGGAGGCCGTTATCTTTAGCAAACTAATTCAGAAACAGAAAACCAAATACCTCGTGTTCTCACTTTTACGTGGGAGCTAAATGATGAGAACACATGGACACATTGTGAGGAACAACACACACTGGGGCCTATCGGAAGGCAGGGGGTGGGAAGATGGAGAGGATCAGGAAGAATTGCTAATGGATGCTGGACTTAATACCTGAGTGATGAGATTATCTGTGTAGCAAATCACCACGGGACATGTTTACCTATGTAACAAACCTGCACATCCTGCACAATTACCTCTGAACTTAAAAGCTGGAAATAAAATAAAATGTATTTTTGTAGCTGACATTATAAATTTAATCCCTAATAGACCTAATTTCAATGATTGGACATTTAATGAAAATTTTAATCAGAAAATTGAAAATAGTAGACAGCTAGGACTTCGTGAACTTCTACCAAAAATGTTGTATGACTATATTTATAGTGTGTTCCTGCTTCTCACCCCCCCCGCCGACACATGCTAAAGTTTGTATGTGCATGTGTTGCAAAATTGTCAGGAAATTGCTCTGTGAATAAGACTGTGGTGGAAAAGCAATAATACTTACCTGTATCTAATTATTGTAGTAAACTAGAAAAACCTAATGGCTCTGTTTGACCTAATTATTTTGGGTCATTTTACAATGAAAAAGAATCACAGTTCATCACTATCAAGGTGATTGTGGAAAATGCATTAAATTTATAACATTAAATTACATTATATAATACATAAACTATATCTAAGTAAAGTTCAGAATTTGCTTTACCAATTTGGGAATAAATGCTTATTTGTCAGAAATAAAGTAAATTAATTATATTTGCATATATTTCTCATCTCAATTCAAGAATATGTGTTTTTTTCTGTCAATAATCAAATGTTCTCTTTCACAGTGTATGAGAAAGGAAAAACAGTAATTTCTATACAACTACACAAACTCATATAGACCTCACAAATTGAGAGTGGAACCAAGATGGAATATGCTTCTGTGTACTACTTTAATTTAATTTTTAATATGTACTTCTGCTTGTAGTCAGATGAAAAAAATGCATTAAAAATGGCTTTTCATCTTTCTAGAATTTTCTTCCTCTCCTGAATAGAAGCCCCAAAGCAAAAATATTTGTAAAACACAAGAAGTTAAGTAGCTATATACTTTCAACCTTATCAACTGTTTGGCTCTAGGTATAAAGGTAAGATATTTCATTCTTTTAAACGAAAGCACCACGTTTGAATATTCAGGTCTATCTTAAGGCTAAATTTTGAATTTGGAATATACTTTCTGATTCATTTTTTAAACTAGGAACATCTTATATTTGGTCTACATCTAGACTTTACTTTTCAAATGCATAAAGTACCAAAATTCTGTAATTTACCTATATATCATGTTCCATTATTAACTCTTATCCCAATACAACAGCCATGCAGGACAGCATTTTCTATTGTAGGTCTTCATACTTGTCATGGTTTTCAAAATAGTTTTTGGTGGTATATGAATATATACATGTATGTTAATATGTTAATACCTGGCACTATAAAACTATGTCATAGACCTGTCCTATAGACCTGTCCTTTAGACCTGAAATTGCCTACTAAAGTGGGCTATAAGGTGAAAGTATCCTGTCTCAAAATAAATCCCTTTATTGCTGCAAATACTGGAATGAGAATTCACTGAGCTTAGAATGCACAACTCTTGAAATAGTTTAGTGTCACTGCTTTGGTGTAGTTTTTGTGTATTCATATTAATTTTACCTTAACTAAACTGTGATTGTCTAGATGAGTGTTTCCCAAATAGGCCTTTAATTGACATTTGAACAATTTTGCTCTTTCTGTGTACCATTTGTACTTTTACTTACTTAACATGTTTATGTTCAATGCACATACGGAAAAAATATGTCTAGTCCATGAAGCCAGGGATTTCGTTTCAGGGACAGTATTGGCAAGTATGAGGCAAAATTTAAAAATTTAAAAAGCAGATTGATTAAGTCTACTAACAAGTTAAATAATGAAGAATAAAGATGCTATATACTAAATGCAAAATTGTTCAAATGGTTATTAGAAGCCTGTTTGGGAAACACTTATATAGACAATCAGAATTTAGCTAAGATAAAATAAGTACGGATACGGTAAACCCACACTAAAGCAGTGCCCCTAAACTCTTTTAAGAGCTTTGCATTTTGTAAGATTCAGTGTATTTTTATTCTAGCATTTGCAGCAATAAAGGAACTTATTTTGAGGGATTATGCTTTCACATAATAGGCAAACTTAGTGGGCAGTTTCATGTCTAAAAGACTAGTTTATGCTATAGTTTTGTAATATCATGCCTTGGTACAATAGACCATCAACAAATAGTGAAAGGAGATGTTACTTTGAAGGAGAATTTACATGTACAAGATGCAATATTGCATTAAATGTTCTCTAAGGTCTAAATTTAATTCAGCTGATACAAAATAAGGCAAAAGGTAAAAACTGTTAATACTACAAAACCAAATTAATTGTCAACAATTTCAGTGTCCCAAATAAAATATCTTTCTTCTATAAAATATGGCAATTATAATTTATTTAAGTAGCCTATCCCTATGAAATACTAGGTTAAAAGTTAACAATGATTACCATATAGCTTGGAAATTCTTTTCAACATAAAATTATCAGCTCTGACTTGTAAAAAATTATGGATTCTAAATTCTTACCTATTGTTAATCTTCATATCCTATAAATTAGTGCTATCCAGTACATAGCATTTATTACCAATGTGCTGTCTTCTAATAATATACTTGATAATTTATTTGTTGATAACTTGAAAATTAAGTTATCACGATCATACAATATTACTTCAGATTATTACATAATCTAACTATGAACCTAGGGCAAATGAAACTAAAGGATATCAATGTAGATTTTGGAACAAATTTATCATTATATCAAGAGGTCTTATATTAATTAGGTATCAGGAGCATTCTAGTTAGTTCAATCATAGTTAAACTAGAAAATAAGCTAGAAAAATAAAGGAAAATAATGTATTACAAACAAAAATGTCACAATGGGAAAAAGATGACATTGAATTTGTCCTTAGGAAATGCTTATATTTAAAAAGAATGTATTGCTGTAGTGTAGTCTTTTGTTTATTCTAACACTGTAATGTTATTCTCTAACTCCCATAGAGTTAATTACAGACCAGTTTATTATTATTAGATATTTATAATCCCTCAGTAATGTTTTCAAATCTCTTGCTTTTTCTATCTCCAGATCACTGCTTCAAAGCTCAGCAGAATTTTTAATCACTTCCTTATAATAAAGAAACAATTTAAACACACAGGCTAATATTGCCTGTAGAGAGAAACCTGGAGTCACAAATGATAAACACATAATATGCAACCATTAAGTGACTGTGCTTCAGTTATCCTTCTCAGTCTAGCATAGTTACAGCCAGATTTCTTATTTCAGCTTTCATTTATAAAGAGGCACTCAAACTTAAAAATCGTACTGTATTTCATCAGTTATTTCCTGAGACATTCAAAAGCAAATACTCAATGTGTGCCTACTACTGAATATTTTAGAAAAGGAGATAGGAGAATACAAAAGAAAGAAAGATATACAGTTGACCGTTAAGCAATGTGGTGTGAGTGGGTTTTAGGGCCACTGACCATCCCCGCCATACAGTTGAAAATTCACGTATGACTTTTGACTCTCCAAAATCTTAATAATTAATAGCCTACTGTTGACTGGAAGCCTCATCAGTAATATAAACAGCCAGTTAGCACATACTTTATATGCTATATGTAATATATACTGTATTTTTACAATAATGTAAGGCAGAAAAAATAAGAAAGAGAAAATATATTATCTATTAAGTAGAAGTGGATCATCATAAAAGTCTTCATTCTCATCGACTTCATATTGGATAGGCTAAAGAGGAGGAAGAAGAGGAAAGGTTGGTTTTGCTGTCTCAGTGTTGGCAGAGACAGAAGAAAATCTGCATATTAATGAACCATGTAGTTCAAACTCATGTTGTTTGAGTCAACTGTAGTTACAAACTTCAACAAGTTTATATCTCATGAGTACTATACAACATAAAACTATGGAAACAATTTAAGGATTCTCTCTCTCTCTCTCTATCTCTCTCCCTGACTTCCCTCCGTCCTTCCCTCACTACACACACACACACACACACACACACACACACAGACATACAGTCACAAAATATATTTTCAGTGTGGGTATAAATTGATATCAACATTCTAAAACCATTTATCATGAGACTTAAACAATGTTTTATCATTTGACCTGTAAGTTGTCCTTTTGTGAAACTATACAATATATTTGTAGCAAAAAATGTATGAGCTAAATTATTTACCACAGCATGTTTCATAAAACAAATAGAAAAGAATCAGCCTATAACAGTATGCAAAAAAAGGGATGACTCTAATGACTTTATTCAACAGACAAAGTAGCAATAAGCAAGAGAGTACATATTTGTGATTCCAGTTATAGGAAGATTGTAAATAAAAAAAACTAATCTATACTAACAGTAGTCAGAATAGTGGTTATTTGTCTGGAAAAGAAATGACTGGAAACAGGCTGGAACAAACTTTTATATGCTGGGACTGTTCTAAATCCTGATATGTTTGATGGTTACCTGAATGTTTGCAAATATAAAAATTCATTCAAATGATGGTTAATATTTGCACATTTTAACATTATTCAGGATAGATATAAAATATGAAAATATCTAAATGTTCACAAATGAATGAATTAAAATATGGTGTTTTATGCATATTACACATACATATTTTCAATGTATAAAATGAAATATTGTTCAGATTTATAATGGAAGGAAATCCTGCAATATGCAACAACATGGATGAATCTTGAGGACATCATTGTAAGTGAAGTAAGCCAGTCATAGAAGAACAAATACTGCATGATTCCACCTATATGAGTTATCTAAAATAGGCAAACTCATAGAAGCCAAAAATAGTAGAAGGATTGCCAGGGGCTAAGGGTAGGGGAAATGAGGAGTTGCTAAGGGTATAAAATTTCATTTGTGAACAATGAATAAATCCTAGAGATCTGCTGTACAACATTGTGCCTATAGAAAACAATACTGTATTGTATACTTAAAAATCTGTTGAAAGTAGGCCAATAATGGTGGCTCATCGCTTAATCCCAGCACTTTGGGAGGACAAGACAGGCAGATCACTTGAGGCCAGGAATTCAAGACCTGCGTGGCCAACATGGCGAAACCCTTTTCTCTACTAAAAATACAAAAATTAGCCAGGCGTGGTGGTGCATACCTGTTGTCTACTAAAAATACAAAAATTAGCCAGGCATGGTGGTGCGTGCCTGTAGTCCCAGCTATTTGGAAGGCTGAGGTATGAGAATTGCTTGAGCCTGGGAGATGGAGGTTACTGTGAGCCGAGATCACGCCATTGCACTCCAGCTTGGGAAACAGAGTGGGAGTCTGTCACACACACAAAAAAAAAATGTATATATATATATATATATATATATATATATATATATATATATAATATACATATATATAAATAGATCGATAGATATCTGTTGAGAGTATAACTCATGTTAAATGTTCTTAGCACAATGAAATTTTTAAAAGATTTGTACATTTTAGTGCATAAATGTTGTTTCTCAATTTTTTTTAACATATAGCCCCTAAAGTGTTAAAATACTCTTGGTGAGATTCATTTTTTATATCATTATCTACTTTATGCCCTAATACAATAATATTAAAACACAGGTTGATAAATGTACTTTATGCATA
Source organism: Homo sapiens (assembly GCF_000001405.40). Taxonomy (NCBI): domain Eukaryota; kingdom Metazoa; phylum Chordata; class Mammalia; order Primates; family Hominidae; genus Homo; species Homo sapiens. The sequence goes on along the minus strand of NC_000005.10, from coordinate 86,001,165 downwards.
GTTAGTTCTATGAGTTGAATTATTTTTATTTAAAAACAGAATGAATATTAAATACCATATTGAAAACTTTTTTATAGTTGCTGGATAGCAGTCCTTTGTCAGATGCATAGTTTGTGAATATTTTCACTTCCTCTTTGAAGAAGCTCTTTAGTTTAGTTTAATTAGATTCCACATGTCAATTTTTGTTTTTGTTGCTATTACTTTTGGTAACATGACCAAAAATTATTTGTCAAGGTGGAAATCCAGAAGGATGTTTCCTACGTTTTCTTCTAAGGTTTTCGTAGTTTGATGTCTTACATTTAAATCTTTACCTTGAGTTAATGTTTTAAATCTCTATTTATTTATTTATTTTACTTTAAGTTCCAGGATACATGTGCAGAATGTGCAGGTTTGTTACATAGGTATGCATGTGCCATAGTGGTTTGCTGCTGCACCTATCAACCTGTCATCTATGTTTTAATCCCTACATGCATTAGGCATTTATCCTAATGCGCTCCCTTTCCTTGCCCCCGACACCTCCATAGGCCCTGATGTGTGTTGTTCCCCTCCCTGTGTCCATGTGTTCTCATTGTTCAACTTCCACTTATGAATGAGAACATGCTGTGTTTGGTTTTCTGTTCCTGTGTGAGTTTGCTGAGAATGATGGCTTCCAGCTTGATCCATGTCCCTGCAAAGGACATGATCTCATTCCTTTTTATGGCTGCACAGTATTCCATGGTGTATATGTGCCACATTTTCTTTATCAGTCTATCTTTGATGGGCATTTGAGTTGGTTACAAATCTTTGCTATTGTAAATAGTGCTGTAATAAACATGCATGTGGATGTGTTTTTATAGTAGAATGATTTATAATCCACTGGGTATATACCCAGTAATGGGATTGCTGGGCCAAATGGTATTTCTGGTTCTAGATCCTTGAGGAATCGCACACTGTCTTCTACAATGGTTGAACTTTATCTTGAGTTAATTTTTGTATATGATCCAGTTTCTTTATTCTGCATATGGCCAACCAGTTATCTCAGCACCATTTATTAACTAGGTAGTCCTTTTCCCATTGCTTTTGTCCAACTTGTTAAAAACCAGATAGTCATAGGTGTACAGCTTTATTACTGAGTTTTCTATTCTGTTCCACTGGTCTATGTACCTGCTTTTGTAACTGTACCATGCTGTTTTGGTTACTACAGCATTATAGTATAGTTTGAAATTGGATAATGTGATGCCTTCAGCTTTGTTCTTTTTCCTTAGGATTTCTTTGGCTATTCTGGCTTTTTTTTTGGGGGGGGGTTCATATATATTTTAGAATAGTTTTAGTCTAACTGATTGAAGAATGATGTTGATAGTTTGATAGGAATAGTATTGAATCTGTACATCACTTGGAGCAAGACGGCCATTTTAATCATATCGATTCTTCCAGTCGATCAGATGGAATATATTTTCATTTATTTGTGTCATCTCTGACTTCTTTCAGTAGTGTTTTGTTGTTTGTGTTTTAGAGTTCTTTCACCTCCTTGGTTAACTGTATCCCTAAGTATTTTGTTTTCTTTGGGGCTATTGTAAATGGGATTTGTTCTTGATTTGACTCAGTCTGGATGTTATTGGTGTATAGAAATGCTACTGATTTTCGTACATTGATTTCTTATCCTGAAACTAAAGTCATTTATCAGATATTGGTGTCTTTTGGCAGAGTCTTTGGGGTTTTCTAAGTATAGAATTACATAATCAGCAAAGAGAGATAGTTCTTGTCTTCTTTTTCTATTTGGATGCTGTTTATTTCTTTCTCTTGCTTGATTGCTGTGGTTGGGACTTCCAGTATTATGTTGAATAGGAGTGGTGAGAGTGGGCATCCTTTTCCTGTTTCAGTTCTCAAGTGAATGGTACCAGCTTTAGTTCATTCAGTATAATGTTGGCTGTGGGTTTGCCATAGATGGCTCTTATTATTTTGAAGTATGTTCCTTTAGTGCCTAGTCTGTTAAGGGTTTTTATCATGATGGAATGTTGGATTTTATCAAAAGCCTGGTCTGGTTCTATTGAGATGATCACATAACTTTTGCCTTGAATTCTGTTTATGTGTTGAATCACATTTATTGATTGGTGTGTTGAATCAGCTTTGCATTCCAGGAATAAAGCCTACTTAATCGTGGTGTATTAACTTTTTGATGTTCTGCTGGATTCTGTTTGCTGGGATTTTGTTGAGGATTTTTGTGTCTAAGGTCATTAGGAATATTAGACTGAAGCTTTCTTTTTCTATTGTATTTCTGCCAGAGCTTGGCATCATGCTGATTTTGGCTTCTTGAATGAGTTACAGAGGAGTCCTTCCGCCTTGATTTTTTGGAATATGTTCAGTTGGCACATATTTCTTGGAACAAGTTTTCTTTGTATGTCTGGTAGAATTCAGCTATTAATTCATCTGATCCAGGGCTTTCTTTGGCTAATAGGTTTTTTATTACTAGTTTGAATTTGGAACTCAAAATTAGTCTGTTTGATGTTTCAGTTTATTCCTAATATAATATTGGGATATTTGGTGTTTCCAGTAATTTATCCATTTCCTCTAGATATTCTAATTTGTGTGCATACAGTTCTTCATAGCACTCTCTGAGGCTCTTTTGTATTTCTGTGGGATCAGCTATAATGTCATCTTTGTCATTTTTTATTGTATTTCATTGTATCTTCTCTTTTTTTGTTGTTAATCTACCTAGCAGTCTATCAATCTTGATTTTTTTTGAGAACCAGCTCTTTGTTTCATTGATCTCTCATATGAATTTTTACATCCCAATTTTCTCCAGCATTTTTCTAATTTTAGTTATTTCTTTTCTTCTCCTAGCTTTGGGTTTGAATTTTCCTTTTTTTTTTTTTTTTTGGTTCTTTTAGTTTCCTTTAGTTTGTTTGTTTTTGTTTTTGTTTTTTGTTTTTTTTTCCTTTGGAGATGGAGTCTCACTCACTCATTAGGCTGGAGTCCATGGCACGATCTCGGCTCACTGCAACGTTTGCCTTCCTGGTTCAAGCGATTCTCCTGCCTCAGCCTCCCAAGTAGCTGGGACTACAGGTGCATGTCACCATGCCTAACTAATTTTTGTATTTTTAGTAGAGATAGGGTTTCATGATGTTGGTCAGGATGGCCTCAATCTCTTGACCTCATAACCTTTACATTTTATACTACCTTTAGTTAGACTATTAATTTGAAATCTTTCTAACTTCTGGATGAAGGTGATTAGTGCTGTAAAAATTCCTCTTAAGACTGCTTTTAGTTACATCCCAGAGGTTTTGGCAAGTTGTGTGCCCATTTTCATTAATTTCAAAAAAGTTTTTATTTCTACCTTAATTTTGATGTTCACTGACAAGTTATTCAGAAGCAAGTTGATTAATTTCCATGAATTTGTGTAGTTTTGAGTGATCTTCTTGATATTGATTTCGATTTTTATTAAATTGTGGTCTGAGATTATACTTGATGTATTTCGATTTTGTTTTAATTTATTGAGAGTTACTTTATGGTCATAAGCATGTGATCAAACTTAGGGTATGTTCTTGTGTAGATATGAAAGATGTATATTCTGTGGTTTTGGGGTGAAGTGTTCTGTATATACTCCCTATACTCTTGGCTTTTCTTTTTATTTTTCTCCAAAGATTTGTTCAAATCATGTTGATTTACTAGAAATTTTCATCTCTCTCAGGGGAAAAGGCACTTCCTGGTTGCATCTAATTGGCCATCTTCTCCTCTCTCTCTCTATTAAATATTTTGCTTTAACTAAATACTTCATTAACTAGTAATATTACATCTTTTTTATTATATAACACTCTTAAGCAGTTTCTTCTCTCAAATATATATATTGTTCATATATTTCTAATCATTTTCTTACCAATGTTTTTTTTTTCAAATAAACACAGGTTTTGAATACCTTTAAGGTCTTGTTATTTCTTCATTACTATTGTTACATATATTCAATATATAGAAATATATCACTGTTATACATTTTCAATTATCAGTATAATTTTCCATTAAATTTCATGATATTAAATATATGCCACCCAATTTACAGTGTTGAGTACTACTAGAAACCAAATATATAACAGTGCATGGGTGTTTATTTTAACAGTAATAAGCTCCAGATTAGGTGGATCCATCTCTTCTTTTAAAATACTGTTACAGCTATTTAATAAAAAGAAATGATCTAACTAGCTAAGATTCCAGTGTATAATTTAGGACAACAAAAATTAATGCAGAATGTAACACAGTTACAAAATAAAACGTTTTAATTAAATTTTTTTCTTAAAGATCACCATTCATAAATCAATGTCTTAAATATTATCTTAAATATTTAATTTGTAATTTTTTTCTCCAAAGTTTATTTTGTCTTTATTTTCTGCAATTGAAAATATAATTTTCATCAACCTTAATTTAACTGGTGTTTCCTGTCAAAATCCCTTTTACTACAACAGACAGTATACATCAGAGCAGGAAGATAGGAATAATAGAATTGAAGAACCGATATTTAGGTTTCACTGACATTTCGGGTGGGGGATAGGTGAGAGTATGTAAGGTAAAAAAAATCACATTGAAGACATACATTCAAATATCTCCACAAGGACTTTTGAAATTCTCCTCTATAATTTGCTTAAACTTGACTCCAGAGACATGGACTAATTTTTTTAACTTTACTTTTTATAATATTGCTACTATCTTTTTTCAGTAATTCAGAATTATTAATATCATTATGTCCAATTCATTGCATAAGAAGCTACCCTAGAGGGATTTTTTTTTATTCTACATATTCTGTTCAGTTAGAACATTGGTCATGTGAAGTAGATTCCCTAAACATTGCTGGAATTGGTCTAAGAGTTTCTGTAGTTGTTGGAGCAAGGAATTGCCCATATTTCTGCAAACCCAGGTCTCCGCACATCAGCTACAGTTTCTATTATTGTATTCCTCAGAGAAGCACTTTCAACCTCAGAAGATTTGGAATTTAATCTAGAAATGGTAATATATTACTGACTATTATTAAGTTATAGTAAACATTTTTGTGTTCAGGAGATATTTATAAACATTTTGGCTTTGTATTCACTTATAATTTTTAAGATGATTTGACCTAAGTGACAGCTTCACTACATCAAAATAAAATGTATAATTGAATAACTACTTTAGGCATAGTGCTCTACATTATAAGAGCACTAAATTTTATTCAACATCACAGTATTTAAGCGACTAATATTCACGGTATACATATATTTAATTTTTGAAAAAATATTATGTACTTCAATGGAAAACTGTGATTTGTCTAGAGAATACCTCTTGAGATTATCTAATCTAGCCTTTCATTGCCTTTGTACAAGTTTCTAATTCTGTATATAGTAAATAAATTACAGACATTCAAATATGTTCTATGCAGTAGAAATTTAATAGACTCCCCTCTCTGATGTGCAAAAATCAGTTTGCCTTCAACCAAACGGGCATTTCAATATTCTTGATCTATAAATGTAACTCTTCTTTAGATTCTTCTTGAACAAGTTACATAATCTATGTGGTTCCCTCATTGATTAATGAGTAGAATATAGCTTTTAACATTCATTCATTTTTTATATCTGTATGAGTCATGATATTACCTTGTTCTAAAGTTATGTTTAACATTTCTTGTTTTTGTTATTTACTACTTAACAAAATTGTGTTTGTTAATCCATCTAATAAAAGTATTTGAAATGGAAACCAAACTTAGTAAATGTATAAATGCAGTTTGAAATGTTTTAATGTATTTATGTTTTCAAGTGTGAACAAACATTATCAAAGACCTATTGAAATTTTCTAGACTTATAAATAGAATAGATGATATAGTATAAGTTTAAAATTTATAGATTTAATTATATTTTAAAATTCATGATATTAATTAGAAATAATTATATATCTAAACCTTTTAAATCATGAGCAAAGAAAATTTATGGTTGATTTAAAATACAGTACTCTCCGCTGGGCGCAGTGCCTCGCACCTATAATCCCAGCACTTTGGGAGGCTGAGGGGGTGGATCACCTGAGGTCAGGAGTTTGAGACCAGCCTGGCCAAACTCGTGGTGAAACCCTGTCTCTACTGAAAACACAAAAATTAGCAGGGCATGGTGGCGGGTGCCTGTAATCCCAGCTACTCAAGAGGCTGAGGCAGGAGAATTGCTTGAACCTGGGAGGCAGAGGTTGCAGTGAGACGAGATCGGGCCATTGTACTCCAGCCTGGGAAATGAGAGTGAAACTCAGTCTCAAAAAATAAAATAAATAAAATAAAATAAAATAAAATAAAATAAAATAAAATAAAATAAAATAAAATAAAATAAAAAAGTAAAATAAAATAAAATAAAATAAAATAATATTCTCACTATCTAATCAGCAAGTAAACGAGAATAATTCCTTCCACCCTCAAGTTTCCTGTCTAGAAAAGTAAACAAAGTTACCCACTATACTTCAAACATAAAATTGTCTGTCTTCCTTCCTTTCTTCTATGCTTTCTTCTTTCATTATCTTGTTTTTTTCCTTACTTCTTCCCTTCATTCTTGCCTTCTTTCTCCCCCTCCTCTTCTTTCTTTTTTTCTCCCTCACTAATCTCAGGCAAAGAAATAGAGGCATCTAACTTTCTGCCTTAACAAATTATGTTTACTCGTATGAAATGTAATGTTCACTGTATATGAACTATGTTTGATTCATGGTGCATTTTGAGCCCAAACACGTTATCTGACCCCACGATGTTGAATTTGATTCTGCATTTTTCTCCAGTGAAAAAAATCAATAAAAATCCCTGCAGAAAATTTATAAATAAAGGCATTTTAAAACATTTACTTATTACTTACATTTCAGGAAAGGTTAAGTAATCACAATCATAACTTATAGAAATTTCTATAACATTTAGTTTTAATAAATATTAATATACTCAAGCCTGACCTCAAAGAAATGTGAGTTTTGTGTTTGTTTTGTGCATGCATAGTCAAATCTATAAATATATATTTACGTTTATATCCATTAGTATAACTATGACAGAAACTATACACCAATATAATGAGTCAGTCAGAATATATTAGAATATTATAGTCATAATCAGTGCAAGCAGAGAAACAAAGGGAATATTTTTTTTAAAAAAAATTAGGTATGTTTTATCTATTAAAAAGATGAACACATTATATATTCAAGTGGAAACTTTAATAAAATACAAATAATGAAAATATTTGTGGTCTTTTCTTCTATTACTAATATATTTTTAAAAATTACCTGATTTAATTTATAATATCAATTTAAAAAATATTAAAACATCACACTTCCCACCCCTAATTTTTAAGTTCAATTTTATTCCAAAATTTTAAAAATATGTACTTACATGTAATCATCATATCATCACAAATTATTCTCCAAATAACAAAGCCTTTCTTGTGTATGTCCCAGAAGACGAGAATAGAGCCTGTCCTCTTCATTCCCATTCCCCAAGGCATTACCCCAGGCCTCACACATATTGTTCATTAATGTTTTGTTAAATTAATGAATATAAACTAAATATATGAAGTGTTGAATCCAAAGAGGAAGTCATTGAGGAGCAATATTTATATTATTTCATAGTTTCCGAGACATAGAAGAAAATTAGCATAACATAAAATGTTTTATTTTGTTTTATTGACAGTGTATACATTTGAAGCAAACAGTCTAACACACTATTGGTATATTGCATATGATTACTAGAAATGGCCAGAGAAAGTAAGTGTGTACATTAAATATCTCCAGGCCAAACTTCAGAAAACAATGATAATTATTTTTAGACAATTTATGTATAGAAATTACCCTCCCAAACAGAAACATGTTCCCCATTCAGGAATTCTTGGGTTGATGTGATTAAAGTTCTAATGCCAGTGAACCAAAAGATAAAAAGAAAAAATTAATACAGAATACTACATGGATGCTTAGATTTTATTTATCTCCATACTGCATTCATCTCAAGAGTATAGCAGTGATATGAATCTATTGAAGGGCTGTAATGTGTGTGGCACTGTATAATGGTTATAATCACTTGGAAATTCCCTGAAGCTTATCTCCATGTACCCTATTAACCTTTGAGGCTGAGATAAAAAGGAAAAAATATATGATTCAGAGGAGTCTTTATTAGCTGTATTGGTCAGGTTTCTTGAAATAAATAGAAACACTGTCATACATGCGCGCGCACACACACACACACACACACACATATATATATATATATATATAGAGAGAGAGAGAGAGAGAAATTTATTATAAGGAATTGGCTCACATGATTAAAGAGGTTGGTAAGTCCAATTTACAGGGTAGGCCAGCAGCTGCGGAGTCAAGCACAGGCAATGTTCCAGGTTGAATTCCCGCAGGCAGGAAAAGCCAATATTGTAGATGAAGTTCAAAGGCAGTCCATTGGAGAATTCTCCATTATTTGGGAGAGGATTAATCATTTGTTCTATTCAGGCCTTCATCTGATTGGACGAGATCCAGTCATGTTATAGAAGGCAATCTTTTTTATTCTACCAATTAAAATATTAATACCATTCAAAACCACCCTCACAGAAACACCCAGGATAATATTTTACCAAACATCTGAGCACCATGTGACTTGCTCAACTTGACATATACATCTAACCATCACATTAGTTAGAAAGGGAAAATGCAAGAATAACCTGCCCATGTTCTCTGAGATAAGGTGGACATTTAAGATAAAAGGCAGAGGTAAGGCAAAGGGATCATATACAGGGGTTCATATTTCTAGATCTCAGAAACATAATTTGAAAAATCTTTAGAAATATCCTGTCAATTGTTACTGATCAGAATGTATTAATAGAATAAACTAAAAAGTCATGGTCATCACGATATAAGCATAAAAGGCGTGTGGTATAATTTAATATTTTCCTAATAAAAACACTAAACAAGCTAAGAATAAACGGGTGTGTATATTATTCCATTTTCATACTGCTATGAAGAAATACCTAACACTGGGTAATATACACAGAAAAAGAGATTTAACGGACTCAGAGTTCCACATGGCTGGGGATGCCTCACAATCATGGTTGAAGGCAAAAGAGGAGGAAAGGCATGTCTTATATGGTGACAGGTAAGTGAGCTTGTGCAGGGGAACTGCCCTTTATAAAACCATCAGATCTCATGAGACTTAATCACTATCATAAGAATAGAATGGGAAAAACTCAGACCCATGATTCAGTTACCCCCCCCCACCCCCTTTCCTGGTGTCTCTCTCATGACATGTGGGGATTGTGAGGCTACAATTCAAGAAGAGATTTGATTCTCATGAGAATCGTGAGATTCTGCCCCTGGCTCCACCAAAATCTCATGTTCTCACACTTCAAAACCAACCATGCCTTCCCAATGGTACCCCCAAATATTAACTTATTTCAGCATTAATTTAAAAGTTCACAGTCCAAAGTCTCATCTGAGACAAGGTAAGTCCCATTCACCTATGAGCCTATAAAATCAAAAGTGAATTAATTACTTCCTAGATACAATGGGGATACAGGCATTGGGTAAATACACCCCTTCCAAATTGGAAAAATTGGCCAAAATGAAGGGGCTACAGGCCCCACACAAGTCTGAAATTCAGTGGGGTATCAAATATTAGAGCTCCAAAATGATCTCCTTTGACTCCGTGTCTCACATCCAGGTCACGCTGATGCAAGAAGTGGGTTCCCATAATCTTGGGGAGCTCTACCCCTGTGGCTTTGTAGGGTACAGCACAGATCCTGGCTGCATTCACAGGCTAGCATTGAGTGTTTGTGGCTTTTTCCAGGCCCGTGGTGCAAGCAGTGGGTGGATCTACCATTCTGGGGTCTGGAGTATGGTGACCCTCTTCTCAAAGCTCCACTAGGCAGCGCTCTAGTGGGAACTCTTTATGGGGGCTTCTACATCACATTTTCCTTGCACACTGCCCTAGCAGAGCTTCCCAATGAGGGCTCCACCCATGCAGCACACCTCTGCCAGGACATCCAGGAGCTTCCATACTTTCTCTGAAATCTAGGTGGATGTTCTCAAACTTCAGTTATTGATTTCTGTGTATCTGCAGACCCAACACCATTTGTAAGGCTTGGGGCTTGCACCCTCTGAAGTAATGGTGATAGCTACACATTGGCCTTTTTTAGCTATGGCTGGGACTCCAAGTCCCAAGACTGTACAAAGCAGCAAGGCCCTGGGCCCAGCCCAGGAAACCATTCTTTCTTCCTAGGCCTCCAGGCCTGTGATGGGAGGGGCTTCTGTGAAGACTTCTGACATGCCTTGGAGACATGTTCCCCATTGCCTTGGATATTAACATTTGGCTCCTCATTACTTATGCAAATTTCTGCAGCTGGTTTGAATTTCTCCTCAGAAAATGGGTTTTTTCTTTTCTATTGCATCATCAGGCTGCAAATTTTCCAAACCTTTATGCTCTGCTTCCCTTTTAAACATGAGTTCCAATTCCAAACCATATTTTTGTGAATGAAGAAAACAGAATGCTTTTACAAGCACTTAAATCACCTAATGAACACTTTGCTGCTTAGAAATTTCTTCCACCAGATACTCTAAATCATCTCTCTAAAGTCCAAAGTTCCACAGATCTCTGTGGCAGGGGCAAAATGCTGCCAATCTCTTTGCTAAAACATCTCAAGAATTACTTTTTCTCCAGTTCCCAATAAGCTACTCATCTCCATCTGAGACCACCTCAGCCTGATCTTCATTTTCCATATCACTATAAGCATTTTGGTCAAAACCATTAAACAAGTCTCTAGGAAGCTCCAAACTTTCCCACATCTTTGTGTCTTCTTTTGAGTTCTCCAAACTGTTTCAGGCTCTGCCTGTTTCCCAGTTCCAAAGTTGCCTTCACTTTTTCATGTATCTTAATAACCGTACCCAACTCTACCTGTACCAATATACTGTATTAGTTCATTTTCATACTGTTATAAATAAATACCCAAAACTTGTTAATTAATAAAGAAAAAGAGATTCATTGAACTCATGGTTTCACATGGCTGGGGAGGCCTTACAATCATGGTGGAAGGTGAAGAAGAAGCAAAGGCACATCTTACATGGCAGCAGGCAATAAAGCATGTCCAGGAGAACTGCCATTTATAAACCATCAGAGCTTGTGAGACGTATTCACTGTCACAAGAACAACGTGGGAAAAACTCACCCTCATGATTCAATTACCTCCCACTTGGTCCCTCCCACAACACATGGGGATTCTGGGAGCCACAATTCAAGATGCAATTTCGGTGGGGATACAGCCAAACCATGTTGGTGTGTCTTCAACCTGGTAAAAATCATATATAAAATGGCCACAGTTAACATTATGTTAATGAAGAATGACTGACAGCTTTCCTCCTAAGATCAATAATACAACATATTATTTACTCTTGTCACCTCTATTCAATATCATACCGGAGCTTACACCCAGAACAATTAGGCAATAATAAATCCTCACATTTACGGTCAACTAATTTTTGACAAGGATGCCACGACACTTCACTGTTGGAAATATTAGCCTTTTCAACAAATAGTCCTCGGCCAACTAGTTATCAGTATGTAAAAGAATACACTTGGAATCCTACCTCACACAACATACAATTATCATATCAAAATAGGTAATAGACCTTATTATAAGAGCAAAAATTATACAAATCTTACATGTAAACATAGAAGCAAATATTTATAACGTTAAATTAGGCAATGATTTCTAAATTGTGATACAAAAACATTTTTGCCAAACATATCTATGATGAGGCATATCTAAAGTATACAAAAAAACTTTTATAGCTCTAAAAGAAAAAGACAACCCGATTTGAAAACGGGCACACAAATTGAACAGCCATTGCTCCAAATGATATAGAGGTGACAAGCATAGTAAAAAATGCTACCAATCATTCACCATTAGGGGAATGCAAGTCAATACCATAACGTGAGACCACTGCTAATCCACTGATACAGTAATAATAACTTTTTTTCCTATATTCTGTTTGTTTCATTGTGTCAGCAATCTTGGTAACATCTGATGTTGAATTTCTCTTTATTATCATATTCTATGACAAATCTCATTTTTGGCTTTTCTTTAAATTCTATTTGAGACACCTCATAATTTTCTCTGTGTGGTTTTTTCTAAAATACATGCAAAATAATCAGTTAAAAGTATAATGGATACTATCACATGCAAATTGGAAAAATTTCAAACTAAATGGGTAATGACACACCTAAGATGAAATTAACGAAATTGAGCTTAAACTTCAAGCTATTAATGAAATTGAACTTGCACTTTTATTTTGTGAGCTTTACAACTTTCACTAAGAAACAAGAAGCTGTAATATGTATAAACACACTTTGAACACTGAACGCACTATATAGAAATTGTTTACATATAGTTACTAGAATCGAAGAAACCCAGAGGATCAAAGTATGAAATTTCTCAGGATCCTGATGATTTACTTTCAATTAACATCTTTCTTAATGACTCAAACATGCCAAACCACACAAAACTCAGCAAATGGTCTCAGCTCTAGGTAAAAATGTAGACTTCATTTTATAACAAGATTATGCATATATTTAAAATTGCTTTATTTTTACCTGATTTATAAAGATATTTTTTCCTTTTATGTAGTGAGGTAATATATAGAATTCAGGTAGAAAAAATATGTGAGATATGTATAGACATATTTACTTATAGACATGAAATGTCAATGTGGAGTGTAAAAGGGATAAAAAGAGAAAGCTAAGGGGACTGACAATGTCAATTTCTTGAGCTGGAGAGTTCACAAACCATGTGACAGGGAGAAAGATCAGAGCCGAGTTTTTGCAAAGAGACTGTCTTTGGAATAAAGGGGTGAATAGAGCCTTGTATGAAGTCTGTTGTGTTTTTCATCACTTTCTTATAAGAGTTCAGTTAAAAGAATTATATTACTTTTAACTGCTTTGGGGGATCATTTTACGTGAAAAAAAAAAATGTGCTGGTTCTCACCACCCAAACGGTGTAATTTGAGTTTTTTTCTCTGTTATTCTAGAGTTGTCAGGCATCAAAATTACTTGAAGAGCTTGTTAAAATCCATGTCATTTATGTAATTTCTAATATTGGTGATTTATGTCACTTTATTCCTGATTCATACGACAAGTTTATTTTTAAATTTATCTTACAAGAATCAGGTTTTGGCTCAATTTTTTAATTTTTTATTTCAATTATTTTCATTTAGATTTTTTCTGCTGCTTACTATAGCTATACTTTTTACTTGATTTTCTAGTTTCTTTGAGTGGAAGCTGTAGTAATTGATGTGAGAAATTTCTCCGTTGCTAATGTAGATTTTCAGTGTGAAAACTTCTTACCTATATTGCTTTGTAATGGCATGCTACAAATGTTGATATGTTGCATTTTTATTTTCATTATGGGTAAAACACTTCCTAATGTTTCTCTTTATTTATTTTATCACAAAAGCAATTATTAGAAACCTATTATTGAGTTCCAAATATTTTGGGGATTTTCTAGAGAGAGCTCTGGTTTTTTATTTCCAGTTTAATATCATTATGGTCAGAGGCTGCAATTTCGCGGTGGCTCATGCCTGTAATCCCAGCACTTTGGGAGGCCAAGGAGGGGAGAATCACCTGTGGTCAGGAGTTCGAGACAAGCCTGGGCCTGGCCAACATGGTGAAACCCCCGTCTCTACTAAAAAATACAAAAATTAGCCGGGCATGGTGGCAGGCGCCTTAATCCCAGCTACTTGGGAGGCAGAGGCAGGAGAATCATTTGAACCTGGGAGGCAGAGGTTGCAGTGAGCCGAGATCGAGACATTGCACTGAAGCCTGGGGGACAAGAGCAAGAGCAAGACTTCTCTCAAAAAAAAAAAAAGACTATAATATAGCTTGGATCGTTTAGATCATTTTAAATTCATTGTGATTTGTTTAACTGCTCCAAATATGGTTTCTTTTGGTAAATGCTCTCCGTACTCCTTAAAATATTTTTCCTTTTCATCTTCAGTTGATTACTCTATAAATATAAATTGTATTAAATTGATTTAAAATGTTGGCCAAGACTTTATCTTCCATGGTTTTCATTTTATTTACACTATCCAATATTAAAAGAGGGATATTGAAATCTCAAATTATATTACAGGTTTCTTTCTATTTCCTTGCAGTTTTTAAAGATCAATAGACTATTTTGTAGAATGGTTTTAGTTTACAGAAAAATTCAACAGAAAGTGCAAAGTTTTCCCATATATTCTCTCTCTACACCCACCCCTTACATTTTCTATAATCCTCTCCAAAATGATCTACCATGCCTATTTTCAACAATGAATACGTTTGTTTGTGCATGTGTTTAGCTTTTTCCTAGGTAATTTATTTGTGCATAAATTTCCCTCAATTGTTAAAAAAGCGCATTAATCTCACACTACTCAAAATGGAAATAATACTCCAATATTTTCATTAGGTTTTATGTTGTTGCCAGGGACCACCCATTGATTTTATTTAATTGGGTATTGGAAAGAGAGTATATAAATAGAACGTCATACTAGACTAACTACTAATGTTACAATGTCTCCTTTCCCTTTTTGATAAATCTCTATATTATCATCTGCTCATAAATAGTTAGATGGGTTATGGGTTGCAAGTGAGAAATTTCAAGTCAACTATTTTCAAATTAACTGGAGATGTGTCTTCAACTCATTTTCGATTATGTGACTATTATTATCTACTTTTTCAGCTTGAGGTCACAGCCAAAATGTAGAGAAAAGTGAAATTTTTCCATTTGACATCCATTATGTCTTTAATCTGCCTTCACGTCTGATTGATACCATAGCTAAGTGTAGAATTGTAACTTGGAAATTATTTTCACTTCTGCTTTTGTTGCTGATATTTCCTTTTCTCTAAAATTAAAGTTTCCTCAAAAGTTGTGCGTGCTGCAGTGAGACTTTTGTTGTAAATTGTTAAGGTCACTTATATGCAATCTGGAAACTGCCCTGTAGTTCTGACAATTGTTCTTAAATATCTCACATCTGCCTACTGTATTGGCTATATTTTAAAAATAGGAAATTATGGACTTAATAATGTTTTGATGTCAATACTACCCAAAACAGCCTATGAGTTCAATGCAATACCTATAGAAATTCCAATAACATTCTTTAAAGAAATAGAAGTTTTTATAAAATTCATATGAAATCTCAAGAGGTCGCAAATAGCCAAAACAATCTTTCAAAAAGTACTTTCATTCAAAAGTGATGGTAAACAAACAGTGCGATACCGTCATAAAGACAGACATACATATATAGCAAAGGAATAAAATGAGGTGCCCAGAAATAAATCCTTATATATATGGCTGTATCCATATATGATTCACAGGATACATTTTATGTACATTTTACCACAATTAAATTTTTTAAAAATAGTAGATTGTTTTGCCTATTTTCCACTAACATATAAATTGTTTATGAAAAACACTTCATTTTGTCTCTAAACTCTTTTACTCAACACTAAGTTTATGAAAGTCATCAATTTTGCTATCTGCAACATAGTTAAATAATGTTCACTTCTGCGTATTTCTTAGTGTATGACTATATCACTATTTATTTATTCTATTTTTGTCACACATTTCAGTTGATTCTAGTTTTGAACTCTAGCATTTAATGCTACTATAAATATTCTTGTGCTTACATTTCATGTGCAGATATATTTAATTCTTTATTATATGCCTAGGAGTAAAGTTGCTAGATTAGAAGGTATGCATATGTTTAGGTCTTTTGCCCACTTACAAAATATTTTCCAAAGGAGTGGTTCCAATATACATTCCTAACAGCAATGGATGAGTAGTCCCATATATTTAACATCCTTGGTAATATTTGGCATTGTTAAGCATTTTAATTGTTGCAACTTGATATGTGTACATAATGATGCCTTCGATTTTTATTTTGCTTGCTTTATATTTTATATGCTTATTGTACACCCAGATAGCCTGTTTTATAAAGTACTTGTGTAAGTCTTTTAGCAATATTTTGCATATTGATTTCTTGTTCTGTTTCCTGTTGATTTGTACTTTTTTATTGCTGCGATCCCTTTTTCAGACATAACATTTTGACAATATTTTCTCCTACTCTGTAGTTTATAACTTTATTATCTTAATTGTCTCTTTTAATGAAAAACAGTACTAACATTTAAGTTTTTTTAACCTTAATGTATTTTATATCCTCTTTAGGAAATCTTACCCAACTACAAAGTCCTTTGTAATTTATAGACCATTTATTGTTTAAACTTTTCTTCTCTATATAAATATAACTCAACTAGATTTAGTCTGTGTGGGTTGTGAGGCAGGGTTGTTATATTGCATTCCTATGAGTATTCAAATGACAGAGTACCATTAATTTGAAAAATATATCTTGTCTCTACTGGTATTCAGTGCCAAATTTATCATAAAGTCAGTATCACTACATCTGTAGGCCATAATCACTCAGTTTAAATTGTGTTTTAATTTCCATTTTCATCTCTTCCTTGACCCAGGACTTAAGTATATTTCTTAATTTCAAAATATTGGGAGAATCTTGTAATTGCATTTTTATTATTGGCTTTTAGTTAAACATACTATTATCAGAGATACTGTCCGAGATTTATTTTATAGTCCTACATAAACTCATTTGGAAAATATTCATATATGAGAAAAAAAGTAAAGTGCATTCTGCAGTGGTGAAATTTAATTTTCTATAAATTCTATAAAAAACTGAAAGCAGTTTTTTAATTGGGTGATGAAAATCTTCTGTATCCTTAATGATTTATTTATTTATCAATTTTTGTCTGCTTCTCTTTGGATCTCAAATCAATACACAGGAAACTGAAATATTTCCTTTCTTTGAGGACCCTGAACCCATGAGTCTATCTCCTTAGTTCACAGATTCTTTTAATAGCTGTGGTCAGCTTGTTAGACATTTCTTTTGGAATTGCTGTAATCTCTCAGGATAAAAGTGGTCTTAACTCCAAGGCTTACCTCTCCAATTGTTTTCTCTACATATTAGCTCTCTGTGGCTTCAGAAAAACTTTAAAAATTTTTTTATCTTATTTGATTACTAGCAACGGAAAGGACAGAATGGCCCATCTATCATTACTATCCTTTGTTTTGCTTTTTTTTTTTTTTTTTTTTTTTTTTTGAGACGGAGTCTCACTCTTTCGCCCAAGCTGGACTGCAGTGGCGCTATCCCGGCTCACTGCAAGCTCCGCCTCTTGGGTTCATGCCATTCTCCTGCCTCAGCCTCCCGAGTAGCTGGGACTACAGGCGCCCACCACCACGCCCGGCTAATTTTTTGTATTTTTAGTAGAGACGGGGTTTCACCGTGTTAGCCAGGATGGTCTCGATCTCCTGACCTCGTGATCCGCCCGCCTCGGCCTCCCAATGTTTTGCTTTTATATAGTTTTATTTATATTGCATATACCTTAGAGCTGTTTTTAAAGAATAACACTTTCATGACTTTCATGAGGTTAAATCTTGTTTCGTTTAACCTTTCATGAAAGCCAAGCATACAGTATTAGCAGAGGTGGTGTCAGAACTAATGTCTCAATGCCAAATCTGAGTTACTTTCATCAATGTTTGTGTGATAAGAGAGATGTGGTTTTAATCTTGAGTCAGCATACTTTTCAAATGACATCACAAGCATCTTCTATGTCAATACTTCTTCTTCATATAATTGCTTAGATATTTAAAACTGATGACATTTTTGATAAATAAATTAGTGATCTATTTTTTATTAATCAATTTTTAATCCAGAATAAACACTTACTACAGAATATGCACACTTGTTTCATTTCATAGCAATCATTGGCTTTTGTAGAATTAATCTTAACAGTGTAAACAGAGTCCATCTTTGTCTAAGTTGAACTTCTAATTGGTAAAAAAAATTCATGATAAGAATATTAAAATAAATAAACAGTCTTTAGGTAACCTTTTTATGGGTTTCTTAAGGATTAATATGGAATATTCTAATTTTGGTAACTGTAAGTTTATGAAAACAAAATTCTGAACTGAAGTAAAATTTGTTCTGTTTTAGCTTCATGAGAAGGTGTGTTAGAGGCAAGAAAGTGAGTAGTTGATTTGCTAGTAATAATAATTAATATATTTCTTCCACATTTAAGGTACTTTTATAAGCAATCTTGGTATGTTTTAGTTATCTAATAAGCCCATGCTTTATTAGATAAAGCAGTGACTGTATTTTTTCTGAATTTACAATTAAAGAAATAAAGGTTCACGATTTTCCCAAGGGCTCATAGATAAATGGAAGAGTTCATGATCAAAATCCTTAATATATAAAATATCAGTATAATTTAGTTGGAAAAGTAAGAAAAAAATACTCAAAAATCAGAATCAATCATCCAATCTACTTTACGAAGTACTTTGATAAAATATGCAATACCATATTTAAAATAATTAATATTATAACTAAATCAGCTTTTGAAAATGTATATTTCTCAGCAAAATCAAAGTAAAGACTCTGTGTTCATTTATATATTGTCCAATACTGCCATCAATTTTGCTTACAATTGTTATTACCTGGGAAGTGTTTTTACTCTTCTTTGATGCAATAACCAGACTAATATTTTTTATATTAGTAAATTAATGGACAATAACCTTATAATTCTCCAAATAATTTTCTTCTAATAGTAATAGATACAAGTAAGAGTAGTATTATAATTCAAAGTTTTAAATTCTAAAATGAAATATATTGATAATATCTTTTTGCCTTTTATTTAAAATTACTTTAATGTTTTAAAATTATATAAAGATAAAAATGTGTTCATTTTTTTCTAAAATTTTACCACATCTGCAGTGAAATTACATCAACTGATATTCAAGTAAAATATTAACATTTTTAGCTGAGATATAGTGACAAATGAAACAGCAGTAATTCTGTTATGATAAATGAAATCATAAAAAGCAAGCAAACAAAAAAGCCCCCAAATATTGAAAGCTTTTCAGAAACCTCACATAAATTTCTCAGGAAACATGATGTTTTAGAATTTAGAATGCCCCCTCCAAAAATATAGTTTTCTTTTAGACTATATCATTGTAAACACTTCCAAACTGATAGAGTGACAACTTTTGAAAATCTACAAATCTATACAATCAGTGAGAACATTATCAAAATCTGGCAAAATCAACTTTTTTTCAGAACTTTGGAAATTCACCAAAATTAACAAAAATTAACAAATGAGTAAAAAACATATTAGAAGAAAACATTGAAAATATTTTCAAATGATTGTACCAAAACACAATATGAGTTAAGTGATGCCTCTAGACAGTGTTTAAAGGGAAATTTATAGCGGTAAATGTTTATATTGCAAAAGAAGTAAAATTTTAAATAAACAACCTAAACATACAACTTAGGAAACTAGAAAAATAACAAACAAAATAAATCCAAAGTAAAAATAAAGGAAATAATAAAGATTAGATTGGAAATAAATGAAGTAAAATATATAAAAACATTAAGAGGGAAACAATGAGAGTAAAAGTTGTCTCTTTGGAAGATAAACAAAATGAAAAACTTTTAGCTAGAATGACAGAAAAAGAGGAGAAGAAAGACTCAAATTTCCAAAATTGGGAATGAAAGAGGAGACATCTTTTATCAATCTTACAAAATTTTTTTAAAAGATTATGAGAATATTATGAACCATAATAAGCCTATACATTAGAAAACTTAGATGAAACTGATAAATTCTGAGAAAGATATCAAATACCAAAATGGACTAAAAAAGAAATTTAAAATCTGATAAGATCAAATAATGAGTATAAACAGTTAACCTGATAATCTCAGTAGACTCATATAAAGCATTAGACAAACTAATACACTTTCATTATAAAAACACTCAATATAAGAGCAATGGAAAGAATTTCCTCACATAGATAAATAGGATCTAGGAAAAACCCTCAGCTGACATTACAGTTAATGTTGAAAGACAGAATACCGACATTTTCAACTGTGTACTAAGATTTATTTAAAAATAGATTTATATAAGCAGCACCGTGGAGGAAAACCAAACTGAAGTCAAATGGATGAATGATTTGCTGATTTCCTTCTTATGAGATGCCAACAATTTTTTAAATTTACTTTTGAATTTACCGTGAAAAATCATTTGTCAAAAATAACAGGTAAACCCCATCCATTTTAAAACGAAACTTGAATCCGCATTATCAATTTGATGTTCATTACGTGTTTCTATTTCTTACGTATGTACTTATCCCTAAAATATATAAGTATTTTTGTGTGCGTTTAAACCCTTTTTTTTTTTTTTTTTTTTTTGAGATGGAGTCTCGCTCTGTCACCCAGGCTGGAGTGCAGTGGCACAACCTTGGCTCACTGCAACCTCCACCTGCCGGGTACAAGCAGTTCTCCTGCCTCAGCCTCCCAAGTAGCTGGGACTACAAGCACGCGCCACCACGCCCAGCTAATTTTTTTGTATTTTTAGTAGAGACAGGGTTTCACCATGCTGGGCAGGCTAGTCTCGAACTCCTGACCTTGTGATCCACCTGCCTAGGCCTCCCAAAGTGCTGGGATTACAGGCGTGAGCCACTGTGCCTGGCCTAAACATTTTTATCTGAGAAAATTATTAATGCCTATATGTGTTTTCCTAGATCATTCATTCTCACTATTATATATATTCAATTTTATAATATACTGTTATTAATTTATTCATTATAGATAATTATATATTTTTAAATTACAAACTATGGTGGTATAAACATTCTTAATCTTTCCTTGACATAAGAATCTGTGTTTCTTTATGAGTAAATTTTTGTACATAGGAGAGGCACATTTTCAAATTACTTGCCCTTTAAAGTGATTGCACTAATTTAACTTCTATCATCAATGTATGAGTGCTATAGTTTCAAATTTTTTCCAAAACAAGGTAATGTCAGATTTTGATTTGAAAAGATGGATAAAAACATGTACTTAATAATTGAATTTATATTTTTAATACTAGGCTAGTTAACATTTTAAAATGTATATTTATTGACAATTTTTATTTCAGGTTCTGTTCAGTTTATATTTTATACCACTTATTGTCTTTGCCCTTTTGTAGTAATTTGTAGCATTTCCTTATATTTTTTAGTTAGTAAGTCTTTCTTGCATATCTGAACTTCCAATACTTTTCTACATTTATGGCTTGTATTTCCTGGTTTACTTAATTAAATCTAAATCTACTGAAGAAGAGAAGTTGTTTTATTTTTATGCAACTGAATTAGTCTGTCTTTCTTTTTATTTCTTGTTTAAGAACTCTTTTTCTGTCTTGATGTCTAATTCTTTTTTAAACAGCCAAGAGAGCACAATAAGGTATACAAGCCTACTACTTCCCTATCCCTAGATAAACAATAATTAATGCACATTGGGATTGGATGTAATCACTAGGTTCTACACATAGCTTTCATTGATTTTTCAATAATGCTGAACGTTATGAAGAAGAAACTTCTTTCTTTTTCTTCTCAGTGGTTAATTTAATTTTCTCCCCTACTGAACCAAATTATTTTCTAGCAGTCTTTATTTATCATCTCTTTATGTTTCCTATCTTGTTGCCAACTCCATTGCATCTCATACCAAATAACGTTTGTTTCAGTATTTCTAGTCATTTACTGTTTTTACCTAGTAACACCTTTTTTTAATTTCAAAAATAACAAATACTTGTCTTTTAAAAAACAGATATATTATTTTATTAATAGCACACATAATATAATGTCATTATTAAGAGATAGTCTTGAAAATAATGAGTCATTCACTGTAATTTGTAATATATATACTTTAATATTAGATACTTTAGATTGTGGAATGTTTTATAATTCAAAATGTAAGTATGCATTTGTTATTTGTAGTTACGTCAATAATATTAACCTACATTTATAGGTCTCCACTGCAAAAAGAGTTTTTATTTGTTGTTGACTATGTTGTTCTTAGCTATTGTGTATCTTCAGTAACATTTACTGTTGTCTTACATTCTTCTGCTGTAATATTTTATTTGATTGATTTTTCTTAGCCTGACCATATGATGTTCAGGTACTGATCTAGAAAAATCTGTACTAACGCTCTCCTGGCCAAAGTTTTTAAATTATATGCTAGATTTTTCTTTCAGGTTGAGTGAAAACTCTTTGGCCTGTGAGAGAGGAGATTCCTGAAAATGTACAGATGAGTAAAAACCCACACCTCTTTAACTTCTTTTATATTCCATTTATTGTTAACATTATGTAGCTTATCACTTTTCAAAATAGGAATTTCTTTCTTTATCAAAGGTAATTCAATAAAATTCCCTATGAAATGTCAGTGCAATTCTAGCTAAAATTAAATTTCATTTTTAAATAAGTAACTAATACATATTAGACATAATTCTGAACAAGAGGGGCCTATCCCTTTGTGATTGTATATGTATGCATATATATTTATGCACATGAACAGTCATATCTTTTTATGACTGCATATTCAGGACTTAATGCATTAAGTTACTGTGCTCTTCCAAAGTACTGCAAAAGACTTAAAACTTCTCATTAAGTAGTTTTAGTGTTGAGCATAGAATAGAAATAATTGGATTATGTGGTGTATATGTGTTCAAACAAATCTTTACTGTTGATTCAAGCTTATACAGAACAAATAAAAAGGGCACCATACCGAAAAATTCTGTACCCATGAAAGATAGCGATGATGAATCTGGACCTTTCTTTTCAAAGGAAGAGAACAAAGTAATATGATTGTTTTTCTGTCATTCTGTACCTTTATTTGTCATTTACTCATTATTTATTGAACAATATAGGCTAAAGGCTGAAATAAACATGCTAATATTCATGAATGATATTAGCATCAATTTGAAATGTACATTGTATCAACACAATAAATGTCATCACTGACAGAGTGCTAATGATTATCTAAAGGATAGAGTAGAATGTATTCACTCAGTTTATTTTGTATCATCACCTATGCCATTGTTGACTGCGAGTATTAAGAAAAAAGAAAAAATAATTACGCTTATTGGATTATTGGCTAAGTCAACTGATGACGGATGTTATATGATTTAATAAGACAGAAGACACTATAAATGTAATAGATTTTGGTAGTTGAGCCCAGTTTATGTGTGTGTGTGTGTGTATGAATATAAATGTGTAAATTTGTGTCTGCATCTATTAATATATACATACTGTATACACAAATTAGAAATATCAAGTAAGACATTAATAATATGAGCCTGAAATTCAAGACAGAAGACTGGGGCCGGGCGCGGTGGCTCACGCCTGTAATCCCAGCACTTTGGGAGGCCGAGGCGGGTGGATCATGAGGTCAGGAGATCGAGACCATCCTGGCTAACAAGGTGAAACCCCGTCTCTACTAAAAATACAAAAAATTAGCCGGGCGCGGTGGCGGGCGCCTGTAGTCCCAGCTACTGGGGAGGCTGAGGCAGGAGAATGGCGTGAACCCGGGAAGCGGAGCTTGCAGCGAGCCGAGATTGCGCCACTGCAGTCCGCAGTCCGGCCTGGGCGACAGAGCGAGACTCCGTCTCAAAAAAAAAAAAAAAAAAAAAAAGACAGAAGACTGAGCTGGAGATATATATTAAGAGGTTCATTTGCATATGGATAATAGTTAAAGCTATGTGAAATTATCTAGGGAAAGATCAGAGTAGAGAGAAGAAGAGGACCTGGGAGTACTCCTTCATTTGTAAGTTGGATTAAGGTTAGGACCCAGCAAAATTAACTGAGCAGATGCTTCCAGTGTTGTCATAGAAGCCAGTACAGGAGAGTATTTCCAAAAGGAGAAAGTATTATGAGGCTAATTAAACTGATAATAAAGAAGTGAAAGAGACCATGGATTTATTTAACAGACAGTTTTTGAAAGCTATGACAGATACAGTTTCAATGATATGACATGGATATAAGCCACACTTCTTTAGGTTAAAGACTTAATAATGGTAAAGATAACAAATACAGACATCTCTATTATCAAAGAGGGGAGAAAATAAATAGAGAAAAAGATTTTTTAAGATGGGAAAAAACTAGCATATTTGTATACAAATAGATATGAAAACATGAGGAGGAAGTATTTCTATATACATATCGGAAGACCTTTACACATTTTAAGTATAATACACATACAAACGAGAAGACATATGACTATATGAAGAGCTAAATGAATTTTTATCAGCTATATGCAATTATATAATCAACTTTAAAATCAATAAAGAGAATACTGAGTGCCAGAACCCATTTTCATTTTTCCATTTCTTAAACCTTACACCCAGGTTGACCAGTATAATTACAAAGTCACAACTTAGATGTTTATTTTGCTATATAGTATTCAATAATGTGAATACATCATAGTTTATTCAATCAACTGTTGATGGAATATTACTTGTATCCTATTTGTGGTTATGAATAGTGCAGGTGTATAACTAAAAAGCATTATTTATAAATGTTTTTAAAATTTTAAAAATAATTTATGTAGGAACTAAATCATCACTTAGGGCCAATGTAGTAAAATATATGCATAATTATTCTTTGTAAACAAAACGTTGAGAAAATTTGCAGGATGAAAGACTAAATATTATTAAGATATAATTTCTTCCCCAAATAGGTCTATCTGCAGAACACAATTCCAATCAAAATTCTAGCCGTCTTCATATAGAAAAATGTACAAGATAATTTAAATATTTACTTATAAATACAAGGAACCAATAACAGCTCAACTTATCTTGATTGAGAAAAACAAGTTTGTGGACTTAATTTACCAGATTTTAATACTTTCTTTAAAGCTACAGTAATCTAGACAGTGTTAAATTAGTAAAAAAATATAAAAAGAAATAAACAGAACTGGAGAGCCCAGTAATAGATCCATATGTACATGATATGTTGTTTGACAAGTAAACCAAATAATTCAATGAAAAAATAAGTATCTTTACAATAAATGCTGTTTGAATAACATGTACATACATATGTATTGACTATACATGTAGAAAAAATAAATTGTCCAACTTCACATTATATAACATTCTTGAACAACAAGAATTGATTGTTAGAAAATAATATTTAGAATGTTCCCAACAGAAGAAATGATAAATACTTGAGGTAATGGATATCTCAATTACTCTGATTTGATCATTATACATTGTATGCATGTATCAAAATATTATGTGTACCCCATTAATACATACAAGTATTATGTTCAATAAAACAATTAAATGAGATTGATGGGCATAAAGGTAAAATATAATATAAAGTAAAACAAACAAAAATATTATTAGAGGAAAAGGTATAATATCTTGCAATATTGGCTCAGGCTAAGTTTTCTTAGATTGTAGAGAGTGCACATAAAAAATAAAAGTGATATAAAATTTAAAATTTTTGTCTTTAGAAAACATCAAGAAAATAATATGTGACTCAGACAAGGAAAATACTTGCATATATCTAACAAATAACTTTTTCTAAAATTTATGAAAAATTCTTGCAACTCATTAAAAATACAAACATAAATTAATAGGTAAAAGTATTAAAACTTTACAAAAGGAAACGAATGTCAAATAATCACATGTAAAACTGCTCAACATCATTAGTCATCAAGGAAATCCAAAATCAAGCCACAGTAAAATACAAATACATAAGCATCAGAATGTCTAAAATAAAGACTGCTAATACCAAGTGTCAGCAATCAAAAGGAGCAGACAGGACTCTTACACATTGCTGGTAGAAATGTAAAATGATACAAACATTTAGAAAACTTCTTGGCGTTTTTTTTTTTTTAAGTTAAGCATGTATAAAGCCTATGACTCCAAAATTCTCTTAGGTAATTATTCAAGAGAAATTAAAATATATTTCAACAGAAAGAATATAGAAATTTTATTCATTGTATTTAAAAAGTGGAAAAAGATGTTCATTAAAAAAAAAATTTAACAAGCTATTTTATAGTCATACAATTCATTATTGAATTGAAGATTTACTCCCCATTTAAGTAAAATAAAAATTTTAAAAATAGTGATGCATCTAATGAGAAGGACAACCCTCAAAAACATTATGGTAGTTGAAACACAGTAACACAAAAAAGTGCATACATTATTATTCCATTTGTATAAAATACTGGGTTGAACAACAATAGCTTGGATCATAAAATCATATCTGTCATCTGGGATGGTAAAGTTAGGGGACACGGGCTGGGGAGGGAGGGCATAAGAAAATACTTCAGGATTATGAAAATATTCTCCTCTTGAAATATGCTATATGAAACTCAATGAATGGCACATTCACATGGTAATATTTGCCTGTATGTTAAATACAGAGCAATTAAGATCTATTACTATGATTGTAGAATGATCTGTTTCTTTTTTATTTTATCAATACTACTAGCTAAAGTAATATATAACGTGGAAAATTCCCCTACTGAACTGGATAATCTAGCTAAGATGATTTTCGACAAGATTTTTTAAAGTGCTGCCTTGGTTCCTACTTGCTGATTAGAATAAAGATGACAGGCGAGAGATAATATAAAGCAAGTACTGTTAAAACAAAGGAAACATGACTTGTTTTTGAAGATTCCCAGGCTCTCAAGAGGGTAAAAGATTCTAAGCTTAAAAAAAAAAAAAAAAAGTTCATGATTTAAGATCAAATCCAGGGCACTCTCAGAAAAGCATGAAAAGCAGAGCAGAGATGTGACTGAAATTTTCAGAAAGAGCAAAGGTAGTGCTTGTAGTCACCAACTAAAAATTATTATTATAAATTTGCTACTCATGTTTAAGCCTGTTTTAATAAACTTGATTTCTATATGGTATATAGATAATAAGATGTTCTTTATTTGGATTTATTTTTAACTTTTTTATGGGTACCTAATAGTTGCACGTATTGATGGGGTAAATGTGTTGTTTTGATACAGGCATACAATGTGTAGTGATCAAATCCAGGCAATTGGAGTATCTATGACCTCAAGCATTTATCATTTCTTTGTGTTAGGAACATTTCAATTTCACTCTTCTAGTAACTTTAAAATATACAATAAATTATTATTAAATACAGTCATTCTGTTGTGTTATCAAATACTAGATTTTATTCACTCTAATTATATTTTGTACCCACTAACTATCCACACTTTATCCTTCCTTCCCAACTACCCTTCTCAGCTTCTGGTAACCATGATTCTATTCTCTATCTCCATGAGTTCAATTAAAAAAATTTTATCTATCACATATGATTAAAAACATGCAAAATTTGTCTTTGGGTGCCTCATTTATTTCATTTAACATAATGTCCTCCAGTTCCATCTATGTTGTTGCAAATTACAGATTTCCATACTTTTTATGGCTGAATACTATTTCCTTGTGTATATATACCACATTTTCTTTATTATTTTTGATAAAACCAGTCACTGATATTTTTTCATCATTCTTTCTTAATCCACATTAGAGATAAATTCATAATCTTCAGAGTTGTAAAGGGGAGGAAACACTTTCTTTAACATTAATGGACTTAACTCTTCTGAATTCAGAAATTATCAAGAATAATTATGCCCATATTTGAATACCTATTTTCTTATCTTTCCTATTAAGCCTCCTACTTTACAATGATACTCCAAGCCATGTTTGGCAATATTTACTATGACTTTTGTTTGTGGTTATCTCTTCCTGAATATAAGGAAGGGGAGCAATATTTTTGGTCTTCTAAGAATGCTATAACAAAATGCCATAAACTAGATGGCTTAAACAACAGATACTTATTTTTCACAGTCCTAGAGACTTGAGGTCGAAGATCAAAGTCCTTGTCAATTTGATTGCTGGTGACGGTCTCTTCCCGGCTTTTGGATGACTGCCTCTTTGCTGTGTCCTCACATGGGGAGGGGTGGCGGGGGAGGGAGAGAGAGAGAGAGAGAGAGAGAGAGATCTTTCTCTTCCTTTTATTTTAAAGCCATTAATTCCATCATGAGGGCCCCACTCCATTGTGCCATCTATCCCTACTTACCTCCAAAATGTTCCATCTCCAAATACTATCACACTGGGGATTAGAGCTTCATTATATACATTTTGCAGAGACACAATTAAGTACATAGCAATGAGTTTATGAATTAAAAATACAATATGGCACATGTATACATATGTAACAAACCTGCACGCTGTGCACATGTACCCTAAAACTTAAAGTATCATCATAATACTAATACTAATAATAATAATAATAATAAAAAGAAATCATAACTGCAACAATACTAAAAAAATGAAAAAATACTATGGTGAAAGAGAAGAAACACTTAAATTTATCAAGAATAGTAAGCTATAGGAATATTTCAATTCCTAGTTTTAGGATCGTCCTTCAGTTTTGAGATTTTCTTTTATGTTTTAAATCACAGTTTGCTCCAAAACAGGTTACATCTGTTTAACTCACAATAATCTTTAATTTTTCTGAGCAGATCTTAGACATTAATAAGTTACGGGGGATTATATTCCACATATGATGCAATAGTCATTGAGGAGATAGAAAAATGTGAATCGTGTAATTTAAAAGCTGTAAGACAGAGCTCCTGTCATGTGTTTGGCCCACAGTGATTAGTGAAATCCTTCATTTCTGTGAAGTATTCGGACATTCAAAATGATCTCTTTGGCTTCTTCTGGTACAAGAAGTTTGATGGTTAACAATCACAAGAAATTTATGAGCAATAAATGTACTCACAGAGATTTTGTTATCAGTCATATACATCCAAAGAGAATGCCCTTGTCATGTCCCCAAAATATTTATATCTTGCCAAGAGCAGAATTATTGGGGTATGTTAACCTTGGCGCTTCTTCTTTAATTGTCCTTCTTTGTTCAATAATTGCACATTTTTTTGAATTGCATATATCGTTGAGTGTTGAGTTTGATTGGAACATACAGGTAGATTAGAGAAAAGTGGAATATGTCATTATTTTAGTACCTGTAATTCCTCCACTTTGCCAGACCAGAGGCCATACAAAGCATTTTCTAATTAATAAAGTTTAGATAATTTACACTGAAACCAAATTGGTGAGACCTGAGAGTAACATAGGTAAGTGAAGCTAACAACACATAAACACACTAAGTTTAAAAATCTAGGTAAAATGATGACTTTTAAATTAAATATGCTAATAGCTTCACTGTATCAGATTGATTTGCTCTTTATTGGAATTCCTGAACTTACCAAATTTGTAATACACAATGGACCTGCAAAAATATATTTGCCATTTTTATATACATGTATAGGGGGGTTATGTTTCATTAAAATTATGTTTCATTATACATAATCATTTCAGTTTTCACAAATAACTCTTGCAAAAAT
Organism: Homo sapiens; assembly: GCF_000001405.40. Taxonomy (NCBI): domain Eukaryota; kingdom Metazoa; phylum Chordata; class Mammalia; order Primates; family Hominidae; genus Homo; species Homo sapiens. Next base: position 85,971,910 of record NC_000005.10, on the reverse strand, counting down.
AATATTGACATGTTCCTGGTCTTTCAAAGTGCTTAATAAAGTTTTATATTAAACACTTAAAAGTTATGAAAAATAGTTATTTATAAATAAACATGAAGAAAAATTTGTCTTTTGGAATATTAACAAAGATATTGTAGGCAACAGGGGGTATTTTATCATTCTTATCAGCAAGAAAAGGATTAATTGCTGTCATGTTCTTTCTATTCTACCTTGTAGGGTACAAATTACATTTTTCTAACCTCAAGACCTTAATCAAAAACAACGAGGTTTGAGCTAGTATTAGTCTGCAGTTGCCAGTGGCAGCCCTTCCACAGCAGAAGACTGCAAGGTCAGCAGTGTGAATTTCTTCAAAGAAGGAGCATACTTATCAGAAGACTATACCTTGTGAAGCAAAAATGCAAGAAAAGTGTCCAACTAAAAATTTTGCTTAAAGAAAAGGCACACAGAAGGCCATTGGCTTTTGCCTCTGTGTTTAACAGTGAATCATAAAAGCCATATATTTAGCACACATGCAGAGAGCCAGTTTATTAAGAAAAATTCTTGGAAACTTCCTTGAATTTCCATTATATCTAAAAATATAAGTATAAACAGTACCAGAAGCATTACAATTTTCAAATAACTGTTATTTACTAAGAAATGAATGACAATATAACGATTTATTGGATGAAGCCCTAGGTTTAATATTTACCTAGGATTAATCACCTCTTCTTCAACTCTGATGAATCTTTTTCAAAATCTTACTTTATCCAATATCAGTCTCACTCTCGATTGATCAGTTTCACTAAACTTTCACTATGACAAACATATCTGAGTCTGAACCTAATCACATTTTTCTTTTCTTTCTGCACGTATGAGAATCCTTTATGATTTGGGTATATCATGGATATTTTCTTTCCTTTGGTTTTTAACTCTTGTGGTGTTTCAACAACATGCTTTGTAATAGCAAGTTGCTTAATTGAGTTTTTTAAATAAGTTATATAAAACCAAATTTTGCTCTGATATTTCTCAACATGATGTAGTTTAATTTACAGTGAAAGACAATTTATTTATGAGCTTTTTAGTAAACTATATACAAAATTAACTCTTAATTATTCACTTGCACTAATCTTAGTATTTCCAGATATATTTCAGAAGTTTACCCAAAAGATAATTTTCTACAACACATACTTCTTGTAAAGTATTACTTCATCCTAACTCCTGTTTGGGCATTTTCATTGATATTCCTGGTGAAAGAGATCTAAATCTCTGCATAGGTCATACTTTAAGAAAGTATATAATTTGGGGAATTCTAAAACACAAAAAGGCTTTCCAGTCAATCATATTATATTTACATCTATTCAAAAATTTTAAAAGAAGCACAAATTTGATTTTCTATATGAAAAAAAAAAAGAAAAGCAGCTTCAAAAAACCCATCTCACATATAATGATACCCATTGGTTCAAAATAAAGGAATAAAGATCTACCATGCAAAAAGAAAACAAAAATGAGTAAGAGTCATTATTAATATATAAAGCAGTAGCAGTAAAAAAAGATAAAGGAGGGCATTACATAAAGGGTTCAACTCAACAAGAAGTCTTAATTATCCTAAATGTATATGCACCCAACATTGGAACACCGAGATTTATAAAACAATTACTTCTAGGCCCATGAAAACAATTTGACAGCAACACAATAATATCATAGTATTTCAACAGCCTGCTGATAGCATTAGACGTCGAGGCAGAAAACTAAGAAAGAAATTCTGGACTTAAATTCAACATTTGACTAGCTGTACCTAATAGACATCTACAGTATATACAGATACTCAACTTATCCATCACAGAATGTACATTCTTCTCATCTGTACATGGAATATACTCTAAGCCTGACCACATGCTCAGTCATAAAGCAAGTCTCAAATTCAAAAAATTAAAATTGTACCATCCATCTTCATGGACCACATGCAATAAAAATGGAAATCAATACCAAGAAGAACTCTCAAAAATCACAGGAATACATGTACTTGAATGACTTCTTGGTAAACAATGAAATTAAGGCAGAAATTAAAAAAAAAATTGAAACAAATGAAAATAGAGACACAACATACAAAACGTCTAAGATTTGACAAAAACAATATTAAGAGGAATGTTTGCAGTGCTAGATACTTACATCAAGGAGAAAGATCTCAAATTAACAACCTAACTTTATATCTAAAGAAATTCAAAAAATAAGAACAAACTAAACCTAAAGCTAGAAGAAGGAAGGAAATAATTAAAATCAGAGCAGAATTAAATGAAATTGAGACCCCAAAATACCATACAAAAGATTAAAAAAATGAAAAATTGGTTATTTAAAAGGATAAACAAGATCTATTGATCACTAGCTAAATTGACAAAGAAAAAAAGAATATCCAGATAAGAACAACCAGAAGTGACAAAGGTAACACACAACTGATCTCACAGAAATACAAAAGATCTTCAAAGCCTACTATGAACATCTCCATGCACACAAACTAGATCACCTATAGAAAATGGATGAATTCCTGGAAATATACACCCTTCCATGATTGAACCATGAAGATACAGAAATCCTGAACAGAGTCATTAATAAAAAACCTACTAACCAAAAAAGCCCTGAACCAGATAGATTCCCAGCTGAATTCTACCAGGTGTACAAAGGAAAGCTGGTGCCAATCCTACTTAAAATATTTCAAAAAATAGAGGAGAGATTCCTTCCTAACTCATTCTATGAAACTAGTATCATCCTGATACCAAATCTGGCAAAGACACAACAACAACAACAACAATGAAACTATAGGCCAATATCTCTTATACACCTAGACTCAAAATTCCTCAACAAAGCAAACTGAGTGCAGCAGCACATCAAAAATTTAATTCACCACAATCAAGTGGGCATTATTATTGGGATAAAAGGATGGTTTGCCATTTAAAATATATCTTTATATACGTATAATGTCATAGTCATAACATTAGGTAAGTTATTTTTAAATGTTCATGGGTAACAACTTTGGCAAAAAAAAAAAAAATAGTAAGTCCAGTAGAATAAGAAAGTTATTTGTAGAACTTCTCAAAGACACGCATAATATATTTAAGAGATTTTTATTAGTATTTCATCCTCCCAGTCATTCACCTACTCATTCAACCATCATTATTTTGCTAGAAGCAGGTATACAATTTCACTGATGAAAAATATACTAAGAAAACAGAAATAGATAATTGAAAACATAATTCCATAAATATTATCTAATTTGTCTGCCTCTTTAAGCAGGGAATATCCAACCATAATCTTTCCATAGTTAGCAAAACCTTATAGAATTTAATTCTCATACAAATTAACTCAAATTCTATCTCAAATCAAGTACTCCTATATTAATAACATTCACAATAAATTATTAAAGATATTAACAGAATATACCATACTAAAATGACTTAAATGAAAACCACAAGTTTGCAAATGAAGCTACTAGTTGAAAGAATTAAATAATATTTACTAAAATAATAACAACTGCCTAGTATATAGAAAATATAAAAAATTATTGCAATTCAACAATGAAACAGCACAATTTAAAAATGGACAAAACTTGAATAAATATGTCTCCAGAGAAGATATACATGTTGCCAAAAAGTACATGAAATGATGCCCAATGTAATTAGTCATTAGGGAAATTCAAATCAAAAGCACAATAAGATACCTCTTCACTCCCACTAGAATAGCAGCAACTTTTCTAAAAAAGGTAAATAACAAGTGTTGGCAAGGATATGGAGAAAAAGTATTCCTAAAATGTTGCTAAGTATGTAAAATGGCTCAACTGCTATAAAAATTTGTTTGGAGGCTTCTTGAAATGTCACACACAGAATTATATGTCCCAGCAATTCTACTTCTAGATATATATCCAAAAGCATTAAGAACAGACACTCAAACAGATATTTGTATACAAACGTTTACAGCAGCATTATTCACAATAGCCAAAAGGTGGAAACAAACCAAATGTCCATCAACATGGGAATAAACAAATGGTGTTACGCAATACAACCATAAAAGGAATGAAGTACTTATACACATTACAACACAGATGAACCTTGAAAGCATGACGCTAAGTGAAAGAAGCCAGACACGAAAAGTCCCATCTTACATGATTTCATTTTTATGAAATATCAAAAATGGGTCAATCAGAAAACAGGTGGGTGGTTCCCAGGGACTAGGGGAAGAAGGCAAGGGTAATAACTGTTTAATGTATATAGGGGTTTCTTTTGTAGAGATGAAAATATTTCGGAACTAGGCAGAGGTATTGGTTACATAAAATAGTGAATGTACTAAATGCCACTGAATTGTCCCATTTAAAATTGCTGATTTTATTTTCTGTGAATTTCATTGTAACAAAAAATATAATAACCAAGCGAAATATACATAAAAATTTAAATATAGTAATTATACATCAAAAAGGCTTATGTTAATCAGTTTGTGGGTTTTCTTTTAATTTAGAAGATTATATATACATTGAATTGTATAGGTATTAAATTAAAATAGCTATGTGTTATTTTATGTGTATATATACATATGTATATACACACATATTTTAATTTACAAGTTTTATTTTCTGTTCATAGTTTTTAATTTAATAACTATAAAGCCAAAAAATGAAATTCAAAGGTAAAGATGTGTCACCTATACTTCTTTCAAAGTCTCCAAAGAACCTAAGTCCATAAGACATAAATGCCGATAGTCTCTCCAACAAATAAGCACTAAAATCAATTTATTCCTTTTAATAAATCTCATTGCTTATGGTCTTTATTGTTTCACACATCTTAACCAGTCATGTCAAACTTCAATTATGGCCTACATATAGTAAACTTTTAGTTTTAATATAAATAAAGTACTTATACCTTCTAATTCTAGAAGAAACAGACTTGAAGTAGAAATAATATATTCATGGAAATTATATTAAAACCATTCCTATTTGAAAAACACTATTTTAGGCAATAAGAACAAATGTAGCATCAATTAAATAATGTCAGTTAAACTAAAAAGAGAGAAAACAAAATGATTTTTAAACAGAGAGAACACAACTCGATTTCTTACTGTGTTTGGGGATGTCCAGGAGTCACCTGCTGCAAAGCTACATAAAATCTGCAGGTGACCAGGATCCCTGAGCTGGCGTTGCTTAATCCTCCTCTTTCTTCAGGTCCTCATGACCCAGGCTATCATCCTGCCTAGGGCTTCAGGTAGAATAATGGGGAACCACCTGGGAAAAGCTGGAATTTAAACTCTACTTCAGCAAATTTTTGGCTATTGTGATCATTTTCTTTTTTAATTTTTAAAGGTACATAATACGTGTATATTATACTTGGGGGGTATATATGATGTTCTGAATTAATTCTTATTAGAATGTTTCCCTTTGGCAAATGCTCCTGGAGCTAGAAAATAAAAACTTTCCACTTCGGCAATATTAAACTTCCTATTGATCTTTTCTTAGCCTCAGTTGAGCTCAGCCTGGCAGCACAATACCGGTATCACATTAAGCAAGTCCCCATGAAGGCACTCTCTTACAGAGGCCGCTGGCTGTGTAGCACTGAAGTCAGAGTTTTACTTTTTTCCTTCCTTCAGGAAAACAATAGAGCATTATAGCACTCAATGTTGAGGCAAATTTATTCAAAGTTTGAAGAGGTTGGCTCTGAGACTGCAGATTCAGCTCTAACGTTAACCCCAGCCATAACATTAGCAAGTTTATTTCTGCATGGTGACTGAAATAACATTAAAAATCAAATGTAAGGTTGTTTGTACCATAATATCATGAGAAAGTCAAGGGGTTTGTATCAGATAATATCAGGAGTTGGATTACTATGAAGAGATGCAGTCACATAATGATTCATTTCATTTGAAGGGTACCAGTAAGAATCCTTTGTTCTAAGAAATATTACTAAGACACCAAATTTCCATTTTTAGAGTACCATACTCTCTAGTCAATAATTTATCTCCTTTAAAGTTTAAATAAATGTTACATGGGAGACACTGATGAGTTTAAACTCAGTACTATAAACAAATTTAGAACCTGCATGTACTGAATGTCTGGAAGAAAATAAAATAAGCAAAAAACAAAAAGGCACAGGGATGAACATTTGAGGATGGCAAAAGTCCCTTCTTCCCCTTTTTGTTGAAAATATCATCAAATTATGTTATTATTTGCAATGCAATGTTTGGTATGCTGGCCTACCATAGAACTAGAAATAAAACATTTTCCTTAAAATTCAGACTTATTAAAACACCCTTTCAAAAATCTCTCTAATCTGAAGCTGGAGAGTCTCTACTCTTTCTAAACACTATATGCTATAGTGATAATTCCCACTGGTGTCTTAATTTTTCATGTAATCTTTAAGGTTATTTTAGACAGATGTTATGGTGTTTCTTTTCTTTATGGCTATATCTGATCTTTGCTCTTAGTGACATTTTCTACATTTCTAGTTATTTAGGAAACCTTTCATGGTCTCTCAAAATTTTAACTTTTCTGTCATGGTAAGTTATTACATGTTTCTTGGTAAATAAGTTTCAGAGGATTGAATAGCTTTTTATTGTTATCACAAATGGAATTTTTTTTGCAACATCTAATTAGAGAGAGAAAAAGAAGCCAACTTTCTTTTCTAGATCATTTTCTAATTGCTTTTTTCTCACTTTAAGAAAATTATTATAGTGTTTTTCCCCTCTTAAATTGTTTGATTAAAAAATTTTTATTTTTCTTTGGTTCTTTCTTTCCTTTCTTTTTTTTTTTTGGTTTCTTTTTTTTTTTTTTTTTGAGATAGAGTCTTGATCTGCCACCCAGGCTTGAGTGCAGTGGAGCGATCTTGGCTCACTGCAACCTCTGCCTCTCACGTTCCAGCGATTCTCCTGCCTCAGCCTCCCAAGCTGGGATTACAGGCATCTGCCACCACGCCCATCTAATTTTTGTATTTTTAGTAGAGACGGGGTTTCACCTTGTTAGTCAGGCTGGTCTCGGACTCCTGACCTCAGGAGATCTGCCAGTCTTGGCCTCCCAAAGTGCTGGGATTACAGGTGTGAGCCACCGCACTCGGCACTTTGATTGTTTCTTAACCCCTATCTGTTCCTTTCTTGCCTCCTGAAAATATTTTCTTTAAAATTCATGATCTCTTAAAGCTATCCTCTAGAATTCCTTTTTTTTTTTTTTTACTACTTATTATGTTTCTTAAAAAGACCTATGTGGCCAAGCACTGAGACTAAAATAGAATCTGGATTATTCTCAGTATAATCATTTGCAAGATATGTGATTACTGAAATTCAGTGAATGTATTCATTCTTTTAAAAAAATAAAATTATCAACACTCAAACACATACTGTGAGAATTAAAACAGAACATAGATAAGAAGTGTCTTAAGTTACAAACGCACCTAAAGTATTATTTAACCAATATTGAAACACTGTGAACATCAACACTAAATAGCTTTAAGATTTACCTAGTATCAGAAGTCTAATAATAAAATCTATGAGGTATTACCTTCTTATTATTTATATACTATATTGCAATTGAAATTCACGATAGCAGTCAATGTGGAAAAAAATTATTACACCCATTTTTATCCCAGAGTTAAAATTTATCCTCTGCAACTTTTGCAGTGAAGAGTTTTATCTTTTCTTCTTCTAAATTATAAGATGCCTGAACACAAATAAACTGTGCAAAGAATCAGTAGCCTGGAAATTGCATAGTTGAATGATTTATTATGTTTAGCTTTTAATAACAATATATGAACCTGAAGTATATTTTTTCAAAGTACATATAAGTAGGTCAATTCCTCAGGGTAAGGATGGAGACAATGCTGGAGATACTTCATACTGAAGGGTGGTGAGAGGTGAAGGACTGACTGGCATTTTAAACAGCAGAAGCAGTCCTTGTTATCTGGCTTGTCCAGGGGTGTTAGATACAAGCTCAGTAGCAAATATCCCTCTTAACAGAACTCCAGAACTTTGTAAAGAGTTTCTCTTCAAAATCCAACAGAACATACAAATTATTTACAGAAAAATATAAAATCAAGTGAAAAAGAAAAGAAGCAATGGGAAGAAGTCTTGAATAGTCTTGCCATGAAATATATTTCTTATATAGCCTAATATGTTATGAAAATCAAAGGGCTAAACATAGAGCACAAATGAGTTAGATAAAAATTATGTCCAGTTAGAAAAAAGAAAGTGACATTAAATCTGCTTTGAAGATTCTTGGTTGGGATAAAGAATTAAGATAAACATAGAATTTGGGTAAAATGTGGAATATATTGTTTGATGCTATAATGATGCGGTAGAGGATCGAGCCATTGCTTCACGTTCCTGGTCAGGGAGATTCATATCGTGTTTTGCTGCTCAACTTTGGCTCCTTCAAAAATCCATAGTTTCTGCAAGATTAGTGGGTGAAGTGCATTGTGGCGTATAACAGAGGAACTAGAGCACTTTGAAAATAATTCCTAATACAACTGATCCTACCCTGGGGTTCATATTTAAAGAAGGTGTGGTTTTGTCCATATATATAATGAGCCAAAGAAACATCACAGATGCAGCGATTCTTCTGAGATCTGTCCTGTTTGTCTACATGGGAATCTCACATGGCTTACTTTTAGAACAGGACTTAGCAGCATGGTAGGTCCTACTAGTCTGAGCTGGCTTGTACACTCACCCGTTCTTCGTCAGCTGAAGTTCAACTACATTTCTGGAACCAGTTTAAGTTCTATCTAAGATCTTTTCCTAAGCACTTCAGCACATACTGATATTTTTCCTCAGAACACTTAAAGTAGTCATTATATCACCAGAAAATAGTAATTTATTATTGGCAGAGTTATATTCTTGTAATTTCACAAATTTTTAAAATGCTGTGATTTCATCCAATAAAGCCTTGCATATACCATCATCCTATGTAAACACCGAGAAAGCTAGACCTAAATTTTCTCACTGGCAATGTAATGCTCTAGAAAAGGCTCTGGCTTGTTCACGCAAGACTTTTTCACAGCACTAAGCTGGATATTTTATACCAAAAAAATCTACATAACATAGTGTTTGTTGAATGAATAAATTTACTAAGTATAAAATCATTACAATGTTACAGTCAATATGGAATTATTAAATATACATATATGTAAATGCACACACTGATTTTGGAATAGGATAATTTCACTCTTTGAGAGTTATCAGATGATACTCTAAGTCTCTGTATTTCTGACAGTAATTTATAATACTAAAAATGTGATTTGGAGTGTAATACTTTTAAACAAGAACAGCTATGATGGCAGACATTCTCTCACTATGTAAAGCAAAGGATTGATCTTACACTAGGATTTAGAGAAGCACTGTGATAGGTTGTACTGATCACAGAGGCTGGGCCAGGCTTATGATAGCTTTAGAGGCATGTTATATATTAGTTACAGAGGCAAGAGTTGGATTACATCAGTCTTAAAAGTGTGTTTGCAGGAGTAAGTCTAATGCTGAATAGTTGACTTGCAAAGTATAAGGCCGTCACTGATTGGTTGCTCTTAGAATTATGCTTACTAAATTGAGTTGTTTATTAATTAGATGTTAAAACCAGTTCTCAGGTTTAAATGTTTTTCTGATTATGGAAATAAATAGACTTATTAGACATGTTTAAAACCGGTTTTGAAAGTTGCTTTTTACGATGGTTGTAAAACAGTCTCTGTCTAAGTGTGTTGGGACTTTTTTTTTTTTTTTGACGGAGTCTCACTGTCTTGCCCAGGCTGGAGTACAATGGTGCGATCTCAGCTGACTGTAACCTCTGCCTCCTGGGTTCAAGCGATTCTCCTGCCTCAGCCTCCTGAGTAGCTGCGATTGCAGGCACACGCCACCATGCCCAGCTAATTTTTGTATTTTTTAGTAGAGACGGGGGTTTCACCATGGTCGTTAGGCTGTTCTGGAACTCCTGACCTTGTGATCCACCTGCCTTGGCTTCCCAAAGGGACTTTTTAATATTCTCAATCCCTCACTGGTCTCAGTGCAACAAAATCTGCATGAGAGAGCAACAAAGTTTATTCAGATTTTCATTACTATTGCCGATTCTTCTTTTAAAAACGTTTTAATTAACAAATAAAATTTGTACATATTTATGGTATACAACGTGGTGTTTTGATGTGTGAATATGTTATAGAATGGCTAAATCAAGAAATTAAATATACGCATTGTCTTACATGCTTACCATTTTTTTGTGTGTGGTGAGAGGCTTTATACTCTTTTAGCAATTTTCAAATGTACAATGTATTGTTATTAACTATAGTCACCATGATGTATAATAGGTCTCTTGAATCATCAATTCTTCTTGAAGACAAAGTATTGTTTCACCGATTTTCAGTGCTCATGTTGAGCAACATGATTCCATCCTGTTTTCATCTTTGAGTCATTTTGAATCATTTGTAAGGACAGTACGTGCATAGTAGCATTTAGCAATCTAAAAAAACAATTGTATCAACAAGTTTAACTAAAATATCATGAGACTGCCAAAAATCTGAAACCGTAACCTAGTATTTTCCAAATGTGAACGAGAAAACTTGGACAGAAAAAAAGTCTCAACCACTCTAACAATCTATCTAAAACAATCAGATTGCTTTTTCTTTCAGCATAGATTGCTCCATCTGATATTTAGTGTTAACCCAAATTGATCAAGAAGTGCCAGCAATGGTGTAAACATCCATCTGGTTGGCCAGAACAAATCCAAAGTTATTTAATTATCTAAAAATAAGCATTTTAACTAGCTTAATATGCTTCCAGGGAAAGAACTCTTATGTATGATGTTAGCCAAAATGAAGACTATGTTGCTCAGGATGCTCAAGTTAACTCCTCCATATGGGACCACTGTCCTTAGGTTCATCTGTCTACTTGATATTTATTACACCCCAATAAATTTTATATTTCTTTAGACTCCCTGTAATACTCAGGGAGCCTGGAGCAGTGGCTCACATCTGTAATCCCAGCACTTTGGTAGGCTAAGGCGGGGGTATTGCTTGAGGCCAAGAGTTTGAGAATAGCCTGGTCTCTCAATGTAGCTAGACTTCACAAAAAAAAAAACATTAAAACATTAACCAGTCATGGTGGCCTGTGGCTGTAGTCCAGCTACTCTGGAGGCTGAGGCGGAGAATTCCTTGAGCCAGAAGTTGGAGTCTCAGTGAGCTACAATCACACCACTGTACTCCAGTCTAAGCAAGAGAGGGAGACCTTGAATCAAAAAAATTAAAAAAGAAGAAGGAAAGAAAGAAAAGAAAGAAATGCTGGAGAGGATGTGGAGAAATAGGAACACTTTTACACTGCTGGTGGGACTGTAAACTAGTTCAACCATTGTGGAAGTCAGTGTGGTGATTCCTCAGGGATCTAGAACTAGAAAGACCGTTTGACCCAGCCATCCCATTACTGGGTATATACCCAAAGGGTTATAAATCATGCTGCTATAAAGACACATGCACATGTATGTTTATTGCGGCACTATTCACAATAGCAAAGACTTGGAACCAACCCAAATGTCCAACAATGATAGGCTGGATTAAGAAAATGTATCACATATACACCATGGAATACTATGCAGCCATAAAAAATGATGAGTCCATGTCCTTTGTGGGAACATGGATGAAACTGGAAATCATCATTCTCAGCAAACTATCACAGGAACACAAAACCAAACACCGCATGTTCTCACTCATAGGTGGGAATTGAACAATAAGAACACATGGACACAGGAAGGGGAACATCACACATCGGGGACTGTTGTGGGGTGGAGGGAGGGGGGAGGGATAGCATTAGGAGATATACCTAATGCTAAATGACGAGTTAATAGGTGCAGCACACCAACATGGCACATGTATACATATGTAACGAACCTGCACATTGTGCACATGTACCCTAAAACTTAAAGTATAATAATAATAAAATTTAAAAAAGAAAGAAAGAAAGAAAGAAAGAGAGAAAAAGGAGGGAGGGTGGGCAGGCGGAGGGAAGGAAGGAGGGAGGGAGGGATGGAAGGAGGGAGGGAAGGAAGGAAGGAAAGAAAGAAAGGAAAGAAAGAAGGAAAGAAAGAGAGAGACAGAAAGAAAGAAAGAAAGAAAGAAAGAAAGAAAGAAAGAAAGAAAGAAAGAAAGAAAAGGAAGGAAGGAAGGAAGGAAGGAAGAAAGAAAGAAAGAAAGAAATAAAGAAAGAAAGAAAGAAAGAAAGAAAGAAAGAAAGAAAGAAAGAAAGAAAGAGGAGAGAGAGAAAAAGAAAGAATTTAGGTGCTACATAAGGAACGTAATCAATCTTAGTGAAGCTGTAGATACCTAGGTGTTGCCAAGATAAAAAATCAACCTATATCTTCTATAGGTATTGCCACAACAATAAGTCAATGTTGTTTCCTCAAAAAGGTATTACCCTTTTCTAGAGTAAGGATATTTTCCTTCATGTTTATGCTATTGGCAAATAGTATAATTATTTGGAATAGTAATGTAATGCAAGTTATGTTAATTTTTGTCTGCAGTAGCAATAGCTTGTAAGAGCTGAATTGTAGAGCTAGCATTTTAATGGTGCCAAATAAAGCCTACATTTAGGCAAGTTATTAGTGGTAATAACAAGAACTTGATAAAATGTCATAAATCCATAACTTTAAACAGAAGGAAAAATATGATTCAAAGCATAAAGAACAAAGTATTTCCATAAAATGTGATAATCAGTTGTTACAGGCAGTTAAAATAATATTTTTCTTACAATCTTGGGAAGAGACGGTCTTACGTATGTTCACAAACTTGTATGGATATTGTGAGAATCTGGTATAGGAAAAATACAGACCTGTAATAGTGAATTTTATATGTCAATCTCATTTAGCTAAGACATGCCCAGATAATTGGTAAAACACTATTTCTGGTTGTATCTGTGCTGGATTTTGAGAAGAGATTAGCATTTGCATCCACAGACTGAGTAAAGAAGACCTGCCCTTACTACTGAGGGCCAGCATCATCCAATAAGTCCAGGACCCAAATAGAACAAAAAGGCAATGAAAGGGCAGATTCTTCACCTCTGCCTTCTTGAACTGAGACAGTTTATCTTCTTCTGCACTCAGACATTGAAGCTCCTGGTTCTTAGGCCCTCAGACTTCTAGACTTATGCCAGTAGCCACCCACTCAGTGCTCAGGCCTTTGGCCTTGTACTAGGAGTTATTTCAATCATCGGCTCCCCTGGATCTCGGGCATTCAGGCTGAGAGTGAATTACACCACTGGATTTCCTGGTCCTTCAAGTTACAGAGATCATATCATGGGATTTTCTTGGCCCCTAAAATCACATGAGCCAATTCCCACAATAAAACTCTCCTGATGTATCCATACATATATTATATAAAAATACCTATATGTATTATATAAATGTGTATCTATCAAGACATACATAGTTAGACAGATAGATGATATATGTAACAAGGATCCTGGTATAAGCTTTTTTTAAAGATATGGGGCCTCTCTATGTTGCCCAGCTTAGACTCAAACTTCTTAGCTCAATGATCCCCCCCACTCAGCTTCCTGAGAAGATGGGACTACATGCATGGCCACTGCACCTGGCTAAGTGTTACACATTTTATAAAAATATATCTATTATTTTTTTAATATAACTTTTATTTTAAGTTCAGGGGTATAAGTGCGAGTTTGTTATATAGGTAAACTTGTGTGTCATGGGGGTTTGTAATACAGATTATTTTGCCATCCAGTTATGAAGGCCAGAACTCATTAGTTATTCTTCCTCATACTCTCCCTTCTCCCGCCCTCCACCCTCTGATAGGCCCCAGTGTGTTGATCCCCTCTAGGTATCCATGTGTTCTCATCTTTTAGCTCCCACTTATAAGTGAGAACATGTGGTATTGTGTCTTCTGTTCCTGCATTAGTTTGCTAAGGATAATGGCCTCCAGCTCCATCCATGTTCCTTCAGAAGCCATGATCTATTTTTTTTTAATTGCAGAACAGTATCCCATGGTGTATTAATCTGTTTTCATACTGCTATAAAGAACAGCCCAAGACTGGGTAATTTATAGAGGAAAGAGTTTTAATTTACTCACAGTTCAGCATGGCTGGGGAGACCTCAGAAACTTACAATCATGGCAGAAGGCAGAAGGCACCTTCTTTACAAGGCAGCAGGAAGGAGAAGTGCTGGCCAAAGGGGAAAGAGCCCCTTATAAAACCATCAGGTCGCATGAGAATTTACTCACTATCATGAGAACAGCATGGGGGAAAACCATCCCATGATTCAATTACTTTCACCTGGTCTCTTCCTTGACACATGGGCATTGTAGGGATTATGGAAATTATGGGGATTACAATTCAAGATGAGATTTGGGTGGGGACACAAAGTCTAACATGTAATTGTATATGTACCACATTTTCTTTTTCCTGTCTACCATTGATAGTCATAAAAATATGGTTAATATTTTCCTAGGAAAAGACTGAAGAAAGATTAACTCATTTAGAATGTCAGTAGAAAGAGCAGGAAAAATGGAAGTATTTTAACGGATGCTATAGAGAAGTAGTGAAACACACAGTAAGCATGAGTAGTTTTCAAAATATTTGAGCATAAATGACATAAAGAGTTTTCAAAGTTAAAGATATTGGATTCAATATTCAGAATTTGAGTCCTTAGAAAGTCAACTGAAGTGGTTAACTATTGAACTTTGAATTATTGTTGCATTTCATTATTTTTATAAGTTCTTTTATAATTTTGGTATGTCCAAATTTCCCAAAATGGCAATTTTTTTTCAAAGTCAATCCTCTAACTTTTACCAATTTAAACCACTATTTATCTTTAACAATTTTTTATTTTAAGTTCCAGGGTACATGTGTAGGATGTGCAGGTTTGTTACATAGGCAAACATGTGCCATTGTGGTTTGCTGCACAGACCATCCCATCACCTAGGTATTAAGCCCAGAATCCGTTATCTACTCTTCCTGATGTCCAGTATTAATCTTCATCATACAACCTTATATAGGCATAGAATTGTTAACAAAAGAAGACATTATCTTTGATATAAAGAACCAATGACAAACAGGAAAAAGGGCATTATAGTCAATCTAATATATGTGCCTACAGAGGATGTCTCAGGTTCTTTAACTAAAGACAATCTAGGAGGGACCTGTATGTTGATCAACATACCAAGAGTTACTTATGCCTAAATATGGACTAAAGAAAATTAACCTACTCTTGCCAATTTACAAGGCAAAGTGTGCTCATGATCATTTTGTATAAGACTCGATGAAAAGTTGATTAATTGCCTTTGCACAAATGGGTCATCTGTTAAATGGATAGTCAATCATTAGTCCTTGGAACAATTGGGATTAGTTGGAGATTTATTAGTCCTGTTTTCCATAGAACACTCCCTTAGACATTCAGCAGACACAAAAATATCTGAGATAAAGGAAACAAAGAAATAAAAACCATAAGATAATACTTTGTAAAAGTTGTTAAACAAAAGCAAAATAAAAGCAAGCAGCAGAAAAATAAGCCAATTAATGGCAATTAAAAAATAGCCAAATTGCAAATCTACAAACCCAAAGAATCTGGTATCCTTATATTGAGACAAATTTGACTGGAGTAGTTTACATAAATGACACATACTAACAAAAGTTATAATACAATTTCACAACATTTAAGTCTGTTTTTTAAGTAAAATGTATACTTCCAATCCAAAAGTTGTAATTATACAAATGCCTTATAGAAATTCCTAGATTTAGTTAAATTATGCAAACTTTATTATTTAGATCTAAAACCACGAAGTTCTGTTTGCTTACAAATTTTAGGCTAATAAAACAAGAATCACTAAGAAGATATTTACAAGACATCAAGAATTTTATTGAGACAGGCTGGACAGCAAATCTGAAGAAGAAAAGGAATTTGGGCCTAGAGACTCATTGAGCACACCTGCTGGTCTGAGTGTTCCATAAAATGCTGCCAAATGAAAACTTCCACAACAACCAAACTAGAATTTCCAGAATTGTCCGAGGATGAGCTTCAAACTTATATTAAAAAAGAAAGGCAAAGTTGAATTTAGTACCAACATAAGTAACAATAAAACATTGTTGGTCTAGCAGAGCCTTATCACCAAACTGCTTACATAGGATCGTGGAAGGAGTTTGTCCTTGCCTGAGTTGGTCATAGAAAGGAAGCAGGTTGACTACAGCCTTAGAAGAATGTTTGATATTGGTTACAGAGACATTATTTGATTGACATTAGTCTTAGCAACATGTTCACTGGAGTAAGTCTGATGCTGACTGTCTAGATATTAAAGTATGAAGCTGGCTGTGACTAAATTTGGGTGTCTTTCAGAAGTATGCTCACTGATGTGAATTAATATAGATCAATCAGAAAAAATAGAGAGCATTTCTGGTGTTTACTTGTTACCATGGTTATATAACCAATGTTTATTGCTTAAACGTGTTAAAACTAATTTTGGTAGTTGTATGTAACTATAGCTAAAAAGCAATCACTCTTATCCTAGAAGTGTGGGAAATTTTTCAAATAATCCAAATAATATTTTATAACTTGCTTCATTAAAAAGTAATTTTTGCAGAAGTCATTATATATTACTCCTGGCGAACTTTCAAATGCCACTTTGAATAAGTAATTAATTAATCTGGTGTTAATTACTATTATGAACATTTTAAAATGATATTGATATTTTACAAAAAAGCTTTTGTAGAAAATGGGCAATTATATTTAAGTCTTCAAGTGAAAATAAAATATCATATAAATTTTTATAAGTCTGGTAAGCAAATTATGTGCTCTACAAATCTGTTTATGTCTTAAAATAATAGGTATATTGAAAACCTAATTTATTTTTTCTGACTTCTCAGTAGTTCTGTATTTACTGTGCTGTAAAGCTTCTTCAGACAAACACAGATTTTGAGAAAAAAAGAAAAAAAGTGAGATTTAACCTTTAGTGATTCTTGAAAAAAAGCAAAAATCTGTACGTTGTTACTGTGCTGTTCACAATTCAGTAGCTCAAAACTGTTTACAATCGCAAACTCTAATGTACTTTCACATACATTGAAAAAACCATGTTACGCATTATTGCCACAAATATGAACTTTTTTCAATGTATGTGAAAGTGCATTATAGGGTGCACTGATTATCTCTTTCTGGAATCTGTACACTATTCTTACTTTTGATGGTGATTCAAGTATAAACACTTAAAAATATGCATCTGTCATATGTTTTTATTAATATAATGAGATAATATATATATATATTTTAAGTCTGTTGATAGTGATGACTGGGTAATGAATGGATTGCTCTACAAGTGATGCTGGCACATTGGCTAATCATTTGGGAGAGGGAAATGGGACAATAAGATGTCTACCTAAAAACAAACAAGGTGAAACATTTATATATGTAGATCTATCTATAACATTACAAAAAAGATAATAATGGCTAAAAATTGTCAATAGTAGCATGAGTATATGTGCAATATCTTCTTATATATATTAAAATGAAAAATTACGGATAGAAAAATTGATAAAACCTATAAATATGAAAACAAACTATAAAAAATAAATAGCCCATAAATGTATTAAAATATTAAATTTCATAAATGTTTAAAAATAACAAAACAGTAATCAATATCTTTTTGTACTCTAAAAGTTAAATCATGTAAAAATGATGAAGACTATGGAAGTATGTATTCTTATAAATGTTTGCCTTTTCATAGAACTTTTCTTGAAAGTCATTTTGAAAAATTCATCAAAAATCTTAAAATGCATGCATTGTGAGTTCAAATCCAATTTATTGAAATTTATTATTTAAAAAATTATAATTCAGCATGTAAATTTATCTATAAGGTAAACAAAGCAAAAATGTTTTAATACAAAATATTAAGACCCTCTACATATACAACAATAAAACAGTGTTTGTATATAGTAGTAAGTAATGCACATCAATTATACTTTACACTTTAAAAGATTAACTCCTGAGAGGGAATTGTAAATAAAACAATAGTAACTTTAAAATGTTGCAAAATTATCGTAGGCAAATGCTAGTTTATTTAAGTTTTGAGGTAGGAAAATTAAAATGGGGTTCATATTCAAAGTTAAACAGAGTGAAAAGAATTGAGGTAATGACTTTAGAAAGGAGCCATTACCTTAGTTATGATAGGTATACCTAATGGCTAAAATTGCAATAGAAGACATGATAAAGAAGTAAAGGGATCAATAATGAGATCATGAAAATCATTACAAATGTAGTGGCTAATAAAAAGGAGAAAATTTTTTCTACAATGTTCAAATCTAGAAAATATGAAGAATGAAAATAATATTGCTATATGCATTTTGGGTGATTTTCTGTAGTAATGAATTTTTTCTTCAAAGATGAGTTCTCTAGTTGAATTTTTCCACTTTTAGAAGACTTTAATGAAAAATAGATTACTAACTTCACACATTAGCAGAATAAACTGTTTATGTCACATAACTCTGGACTGCTATAGATTTTAGACTTTCTTATGGTATAATTTTTTATTTTAAAAAACAATGTGCATCAATTATGGTCCTGTATTGATTTCACAGAAGTATCTGTAAATAATTATTTCTAACCACATAAAATATTTCTTAGTATTTTTCACATATAAAAAATGAGATAACGATTATGATAGGTCTTTTGAGGAACAATTGATCATTAAAACATAACTAAATAAAATTTGCCCAACTAAATCTTGTGGTTTATGATCAATACCTTCTCATTATAGCCACTGTGGAAATTAGAGTAAGGAGACTAAAATCATATATAGTCCTGTTCTTCTACCACTGCTATTTCAATAAAATTTCTTTTTATTACATATAATTTTATAAATGTTACGCTATAAATTAACAACTATTTATAGTAATTATATTAGGCAGATAGTTTTCTAGGCTTCAAACTGAAGCTATCGTATTTGAGGACAAATTCCAGACTCAGCCCTATGAATTTAACTTCATATACAGGTAATAGTTCATTATTTATTTATTATCCCAAAAGGAAATTATTAAATTTATTTAATAATTTGTTATTATTAAATTAATTTAATGATTTATTATTATTAAATTAAGTTAATTATTAAATTAAACAAAACTTATTAAAACAAGTCCTCCTTAACTAAACCAGTTTAAGTAATAGTCCCCACTCAAATAGCCATCTTGACTTAGCATCAGTGTAAAATATTGGTCAGCTGGGTGTAGTGGCTCACACCTGTAATTCCAGCACTTCGGGAGGCTGAGGTGAGCAGATCACAAGGTCAGGAGTTTGAGACCAACCTGGCCAATATGGTGAAACCCTGTCTCTACTAAAAATACAAAAGTTAGCTGGGTGTGGTGGGAGGAGCCTGTAGTCCCACTACTCGGGAGGCTGAGGCAGGAGAACTGCTTGAACCCAAAAAGCGGAGTTTGCAGTGAGCCGAGATCACGCCATTGCACTCCAACCTGGGCAACAGAATGAGACTCCATCTCAAAAAAAAAAAAAAAAAAAAAAAAAACATTGATCAATGAGTTTTTCTTCAGTGATCATATATGTAATTATTGATCACTGCAATATAAATACAAATGAGATCTATTTACAAAGACAAAACGCAAATATTTTAAAAGATGCAGGATTTTCTCTCTGGGGTAGGACCCCCAGGAGACAAGCAAAGGACCCTAGGCCACAATCACTACTAAGGTCCCTTCCTCTGCTGCCTCCAAGTTGGGGAAGAAACATAAATGCTGAGATTGCCCCAGAGCAGTGGTGGGCAGCCAAGGCGTGCCAAGCTGCAATCCACAGCCAGCACTCAAGTGGAAGAGGAATTCAAACTTTCAAGGCATTGGGAGGGAGCATGGCTGCAACTCTGAGGATATTTAGGGGAGCCATATGACCCAGCAAGAGCCTACCAACTGACCAATACACCTTAGCACCACCCACTGGATCATACCCTAAAGCTTCAACACCAAAAATACCTCACTAATATACCCATCTGTGAAACCAAAGACAGGAAGTCAGCTATAAATAAAGTCCCTACACAAAGTTTCAGCCCTGTGAATACATCCAGAAAGGATGTCTATCGACTGTACTCAGTCTACTTTGCAGTTAAAGGAACACCTGCTTGCAGAGATGAGAAAGAACCAATGCAAGAACTCCAGTAACTCAAATGGCCAGAGTGTCCTCCAAACAAATAAACCGGTTTTCCAGCAAGGGTTCTTAACCATGCTGAGCTGGCTGAAATGACATAAATAGAATTCAGAATATGAATAGAAACAGAGATCATCAAGATTCAGGAGAATGGCAAAACCCAATCCAAGGAAACTAGGAATCACAATAAAATGATACAGGAGCTGAAAGGTGAAATACCCAGTATGAAAAAGAACCTAAAGGATCTGATGAAGCTGAAAAATACACGCAAGAATATCATAATGCAATCACAAGTATTAACAGCAGAATAGACCAAACTGCAAAAAAAATCTCAAAACTTGAAGATTGGATCTTTGAAATAAGACAGACAAAAAAAAATTAAAAAATGAACAGCAGCTCTTTAACATATGGGATTATGTAAAAAGGCCAAATCTACAAATCATTGGCATCTCTGAAAGAGATGGGGAGAAAGCAAACAACTTGGAAAACAAATTTCAGGATATTGTTCATGGAAACTTCCCCAGCTTTGCTAGAGAGGCAAATCAGTAAACTTCAGGAAATAGGGAGAACCTTTGCAAGATTTTATACAAGAAGATCATCCCAAAGACACTTAATTATTAGATTTTCTAATAATTTCTAAAAAGAAAGAAAGAATGTTAAAGGCAGAAAGAAAGAATGTTAAAGGCAGAAAGAAAGAAAGAGCAGGTCACCTACAAAGAGAACTCGCATCAGGCTAACAGAAGACCTCTCAGCTGAAATCCTCCAAGCCAGAAGAGATTGGAGAGATTGGAGGCCTATATTCAACATTCTTAAAGAAAAAAATTTTCAATCAAAAATTTTATATCCAGTCTAAGTAAGCTTCCTAAGCAAAGGATAAATAAGATTCTTTCAGATAAGCAAATGTTGAGGGAGATAGTTACTGCCAGATCTGCCTTACAAGAGATCTTGAAAGGAGCACTAAATTTAGAAAGGAAAAACCATTCCCAGCTAATACAAAGACACATTTAAATATGCAGAACAGTGACACTATAAAGCAACCACACAAACAAGCATAATAACCAGCTAACACCACAATGACAGGATCAAATCCACACATATCAATAATAACTTTAAATGTAAATGGGCTAAATATCCCAATTAAAAGGCACAGAGTGGCCGGATGTGGTGGCTCACACCTGTAATCCCAGCACTTTGGGAAGCCGAGATGGGTGGATCACGTGGTCAGGAGATCAAGACCATCCTGGCTAACATGGTGAAACCCTGTCTCTACTAAAAATACAAAATTTAGCCGGGCATGGTGGCGGCCGCCTGTAGTCCCAGTTGCTCATGAGGCTGAGGCAGGAGAATGGTGTGAACCTGGGAGGCGGAGGTTGCAGTGAGCTGAGATCACACCACTGCACTGCAGCCTGGGCAACAGAGCAAGACTCCTTCTCAAAAAAAAGGGGTACAGAGTGTCAAGCTGGACAAAAAGTAAGATCCAATTGTACGCTATCTTCTAGAGACCCATCTGACAGGTAATGACACCCATACACTCAAAATAAAGGAATGGAGGAAAATATACCAAGCAAATGAATTATTACAAAAAGCAGGCATTACAATCCTAATTTCACACAAAACAGACTTTAACACAAAATAGATAGAAAAGACAAAGAAGAACATTACATAATGGTAGAGAATTCAATTCAACAAGAAGGCCTAACTATCTTAAATACAGATGAATCCAACACGGGAGCACCCAGATGTAACAGAAACTATCAACAGAGTAAACAGACAACATAAAGAGTATGAGAAAATATTTGCAAAGTTTGCATCTGACAAAGGTCTAATATCTAGCATCTATAAGAAACTTACAGAAATTCATAAGAGAAAAACAACCCCATTAAAAATTGGGCAAAGTTTGCATCTGACAAAGGTCTAATATTCAGCATCTATAAGAAACTTATAGAAATTCATAAGAAAAAAACAACCCCATTAAAAATTGGGTAAAGAATATGAACAGATACTTTTCAAAAGAAGGCATACATGCTGCCAAAAAGCATATGAAAAAAAATCTCAATATTCCTGATCATTAGAGAAATGTAAATGAAAACCAGAATGAGATACCATCTCACATCAGTCAAACTGGCTATTATTAAAATTTCAAAAAATAACAGATGTTGGTGAGGTTGCAGAGAAAAGGGAACACTTATACACTGTTGGTGGGGGAGTGTAAATTAATTCAACCATTGTGGAAATCAGTATGGTAATTCCTCAAAGAGCTAAAACAAGAAGTATTATTTGACCCAGCAATCCTATTAGTGGGTATATGCCCAAAGGAATATAAACCATTCTACCATAAAGACACATACATGAGTATGCTCATTCCAGTACTATTCACAAGAGCAAAGACATGGAGTCAAACAAAAAGCCCATCAATGGCAGATTGGAGAAAGAAAATGTGGTACATCTACACCATGGAATACTATGCAGTCATAAAGATAATGAGATCATGTCTTTTGCAGTAACATGGATGGATATGGAGTCCATTATCCTTAGCAAACTAATGCAGGAACAGAGAACCAAATATCTCATGTTCTCACTTATAAGTGGAAGCTAAATGATAACTCATGAACACAAAAAGGGAAACAACAGACAGTGGGGCCTATCTGAGGGTAGAAGCTTGGAGGAGGGAGAAGAGCAGAAAAAATAACTACTGTGTACTAGGCTTAGTACCTGGGTGACATAATAATCTGTACAGCAATCCTCTGTGACACAATTTTACTTATGTAACAAACCTGCGTATCTACCCCTGAACCTAAAGTAAAAGTTTTTTAAAAATGCATGAATTCATGAAAGCAGATAATGGTTGAAAAACACAGGCAAACCCATTAAAATGTGAGGATTTGCAAGATTTAATTCAATTAATAAAGAATAGAATCTTTTAAAAATTGAACTAGAAAAAAATGTCAAAATAAAAATTATTTAATTATCAGAAGATTGGGAGGAGTCTAGAGAAAATGGGTAAATTGACTGAATTTTTTTAAAGTCAATATTTTAATACTCCTGTTGTAAAAGTTCAGCACTAAGTGAAAATTATATTATGCTATCGTGAAACTTCCTTATAGAATAATGCTGAGAGGCAAAAAACACTAAATTGTTTCAACAAGAAACAATTTCAATTTTCATTTTATTTAAATTTGAGATTTAGATAAAGATAGCATAAACAATTTTATAAATCCTTATACATTTTTCAAAGTAAATTTCTGAATAAATCCTGTTTTTCACTATTTACCATGTGTTCTTATTTTAGGTGAACTTTAAGATTTTATTATCATCAGAGAAACTCAACTTCTCTAGTCTCATATAATCCTGCTGTCAACTTTCTATTATCAATCTAATATATTGTAAAGCAGATAGAGATTTTTGTATTAATTAGAACAATTAATAATATATAAGATATAAAATAATCTAGAAGAAACACATTGAAAATGTTGACTTTTTTAAAAAACTTGATATCTGACATAAAAGAATAAAATGTCATTTTCTTTAAATATTTACACAGTGACAAATTTAAATAGAAAAATAATTTATTTTCTAAAAATGAATTTATTTTGAAAATTGATCAATTAACTTAGATAAATCATTATGTATTATTCGCTATTGCAGGCAATGTGGCTATGGCAATGAATAAAGCAGATTCTACCCCTGGAGAGCTTACCTTGTAAAATGAAGCAATTTATTTATGTTCTTAGTTTCAAATAAGTCAAGGAAAGCCAAAAACATAATATATATATATGGTTGAAAATTATTGAAAATTACTAAAAATGAATGTTAATTAAAAATATATTAAAAGTTTACAAATTAAACAAAGATAAAATTAAAACATAAAGAATGAAAGAATTTTTTTACAACTCTAAACCACAAAACCAGAAGTGAGGTACAAATGCATTTATAAAAATTTATTATTTATTTGTTAATTCATGAACTCATCTAAAATACAAGGTCAATTTTTTAATTGTATGTAATTCATACAGTAATGTCTTTTTAATTCCTAAATAAGTTAGATTAGAGTAAGAATATTTTTAACACAAATGAGACCCTGAAAATGTGTTCTATTAGGAAAATAAATGTTTCTTTGGCAACAAAAATTTTGTTCAGAAAACAGTTTAACATATAATAGACTTCTTTAATTTACTGTCATGCTTCTCAGAACTAAAAACTTGAAAAGTTCAATTTAAGGATCTTAATTAGAAGCTCATTATAATAAACTAAATATCATTATTCATACAAAATAAGTATTGAAAAATGTGACATATTTATTTGCTAGAACCACTGGCCAGTTTCTTTGATAGATAGTGCATTACTCTTTGGAAAAACATAATGAACACATATAGTGGTTTATGGCCAACTCATATATTGTAAAGACAAATTTTCATTTTTCGGGTTGTATTAAAATTGTAAAGGACTGGAAGATGATTTTTTATACAGAAGACGTAAGTTTTGGTTTGTTGGTTATTTCTTCCCAGTCAATTAGTTAAATGTGACAATAAACTTCGAAGCATCAGGTCTCTTGGCCAGATTTGCACATTGATATTTGAATCATATATTGCACACTTGTATTTTGATAAAATATATTAAATACTGACATCTAAGGAATTTCAAATAACATTTGTATTTATTTGGAGCCTAGAGCTTAGCTTTACACTTAAATATCTATTCAAAGTTATTACACTTACAAATAATATAAAAGTAAATTTGTATCCATGCTTTTCAGTAATTGTTCTTATGTCTCAGTTGTATATTCTATATATGTCATTAATACATTTATTTATTTATTGTATACCATTTGGAAGGCACTGTCTTAGCTCTAAAATACTAGATATGACATACTCTTAAAGAGATAATAAATATCATTATGTTTTATCTTTCAAAATTCCAAATTTGTGAAAAATAAGTTACAAGCCAACAAGTGGACATCAAATGTCACCACATTACTGACAAAGCTAATTAAAAGATTTGTCTTTATGTGAGTGGCCTAGTGATCTGACCATTTTTACCATAATAAGACAAATTTATCCACCTAATCACTTGCACAAAGAGACAAATACAAGTTATCTCCACGAGATAGAGCCTGTTAGTGTCAGTTTACAGTATCCCAAATAGCAGACAGAACATATTATTAAGCAAGCTCATCTGAAAATTTAAAAAGCGAAGAAATGTAATATAATGTCAGTTTCTTCTCTAAATTAACTCCACAAATGTATCTTTACTGCTTAAGGAAAGTGAAATGATTCTTCTTAAGAGTGGAAAAATTTCCCCTCTATGTAATCAAATAAAAGTGTAGGATACTTTTCTTCTAACATTTTTCTTATTTTCTCTTCTTTTCCTTTCTTTTCCCTCCCTCCCTCCCTCCCTTTCTTCCTTCCTTCCTTCCTTCTTTCTTCTCTCTTTCTTTCTTTCTCTCTCTCTCTTTCTGTCTTTCTTTCTTTCTCTCTCTCTCTCTCTCTCTTTCTTTCTTTCTTTCTTTCTTTCTTTCTTTCTTTCTTTCTTTCTTTCTTTCTTTCTTTGTCTTTTTTTTAAGAGACAGACTGGGTCTCACTCTGTTGCTCAGACTGGAGTGTGGTAGCACAATCATAGCTCTCTGCAGCCTTAAACTTCTGGCCTTAAACAATCCTCATGTCTCAGCCTCCCTAGTAGCCAGGACCACAGGTGCATGTCACCATGCCCACCTAACTTTATTTTTTATTTTTGTAGAGATGGGGTCTTACTATGTTGCCCAGGCTGGTCTCAAACTCCTGGCCTCAAGCTATTCTCCAGCTTTGGCCTCCCAAAGTCCTGGGATTACAGATACGATGCCTAGCTCCTTCTAACAATTTAAATACATAATTTGCCTGGGTCTCTATGGGGTCTGTAAAACTAAGTGAAGAAGAATTTTATTTTTGACAAAATGAATACATTTTATTGTATAGGTATTGTTTTTCAAATCCATCCTTATGTCATTGTGACTAATAAAATATAAGCTCCTTTAAATGCATTGCAAAGTTGTAGTAGCTTTCGACATAGTGCGGTTTTTTTCAATCAATAGATACTAAAAGTCCAACTACTACCCTTCAGATATTGATAATATTTTGGGTCATTAAAAGGTGTTTGTTATACCAAAAATATGGAATATAGAATAATTTGTTTTCACGTTTAGCCGTTTTTGAAGAATTGACCTGAATCGTGCCATTCTAGTTCATCTATGTTTGCTTTTTAATTTGTAGTCTAAGAATCATTCACAGAAATTTTAAAATCAAACCACAAATAATGACTCCATAAAATATGGCATTCATAATGAATGTTTCATATTTTCTGATTTTACTGGCCACTAATGCTCTTTTCTCCTGGTGGCCTCTTTAATTGGCCTGTATCTGAACTAAGTCTAACATAAGTTATTTGACTCTTGAAGGTGGAAGAAAAACTTGACATAATTCAATTCCCTTATGTTTATAAATAAAGAGGAATATAGAGTTGTGGTTAAGAACATGGAATTTTGGAAAGGTAGACAGTCAAGATTTGAATTCAACTCAATCATAATTTAACCTCTTTGGTCTCAGCTTCCCCATCTTAGGTCAAGATAATAATAATACCAACCTTTTAGGATTATTGTGAAGACAGGTATATGTAAAGGGATAGGAACAGTGTCTGGCATTTAATAATAATGCTATCAATAAAACTAAGCTCCAAGGAAGTTAAATGTCCTGTCGAATTTCACCAAACAAGTTCAAATCCAGATTATGTAACAGTAGTGAAATTTGTTTGGAATCATTTTCTTACACACACATTTCAACCATAAACTTCTTAAGATTTATTTCTGCCTTATGTCTAACATAACTATTAAATGTTATCTAACTTATGGCCTTAAAAATTGATTTAATGCAGTGTTTATATTTCTTTAAGTGGTTGCTTTTCTCCTGGAGAAGAATCAAATATTCTAAACAAATTAGTGTAAACATTTTATAATATATTCTAATTTTTGGATACTGCAATTAAACTTTTATATTTGATATAAATTCATTAAAATATTTAATGGTGTTAATTTTCGTTCATTGATACTTTTGTTTCCTGATTTATTTTTATTGAACTATGTATTGTAACTCCATTGACCTTCTTTTTTTTGTGACTACTGAGTCTTTGTAGTCTGTGACTACTGGCTACTGAGTCTTTAGTCACAGATATCTGAGAATTCAGAGAGGAATGAGCAAGTAAAATGTTTGGAATGTTACTGTATATTCTTCACATAGACTATAAGTTCCCTAACTGAATATATCTCCTCTGATTACTAGTGCATACTTTGGAAAATTTTAAAGTTCTGTCCATGGCTGGTGTTAAAAAACATAATGGTGATAGATATTTTTTTTAAAAAAAAAAGACTGCATTGCCAATGGTACAATTTTATTTTCTAAAAATTAAACAATTACTTAAAAATTAATTTTTGAAATTAAAAAATGGGTTTCTTACAAAAGAAGAGAGGATGTCCAAAAATAAATGTTTAGCAGGGAAATGCTATTTAAGGGAGATTTTCATTTATATATGAATAAACAACTGTATACTTGATTCCATTGAACAGCATTAATTGTTACTTCCATTATAATAAACAATTTGTCACTAAGTCTAAGGAAAAATGAATAACAAGGTATGTTGGAAAATATATATAAAATTTTACTATAGAAAGAAATTCAATGAGTAATAAAACAAAAGTAATATTTTATCACACATGAAATACCTTCTCAAGATAGTCTTTCTGGGATTACAAAATTAGATAGAGCCAAAAAATAAATAAAATTAAAAATTGCATGTTTAAAGTAAACACAGAAAGAGATTTTACCATCTTGTAGTGGGATCTAATGCTAAAATTATGAAAATACTACCCTATATGAAAATTCATAAATGAGGACAAAATTTTTGTCAAGCTTATGAAAAAAATCATTGATATAAATATACAAATACATTTACAGGCTACTCAGTCAGACCAAGAATAAGCATAATTATTTTCATACATAAAACCTAACAGATGACACTTAGTAAGGCGGAGAATGTTAAACTACGTTATCTTTTGCAAGCCTTATACTTCTAGAGAGAGAAGATCTGATAAAAATTTAACTGATTTCGCTAATAGTTTTATCTCTCTGAAGATAGTAAAACCAATTATCATGTCTCTAGTTAGAATTATGGCTCCATTTATTCCCCTATTCAACTATTATTGTGGTGCAATCGAGTAAAGATGTTGGGCTCTGTTCCCAGCCTTAGGAGGGAATCATGCTTCCAAACCAATCTTAGTTGTCTCTTACCCTTTGTCAGTGACTTTATTAAGCAGGGACACAGGGCAAATTTCTGGGTATGACATATGAAGAGGAGCTTGTACTTAAGCTTCTCTAAAAGCATATCCTTGATTTTGTTAAAAGAGGAAATACAGTATAAAGCAAACTAATTATGGCTACAATTAATTCTTCTGATCCTTGATCAAATGAAACAAACATATCCAGAAAGAATTAGAACATGAGAATATGATGCCTGGAGGTCCTACATCTATCTTTTCAAAATAAGGGCAGCTTAAATAAAGATGAATCCAATGACCTGAAAATGGTAGACAAAATACACAAAGAAATCAGGTCTTTAGTGATACAATATTTATCTCCCTCCTTTGAATTGTGTATTATATGAGGTAAAATATAGACCTTTCATACTAATTCAATAAATAACAAAATTTTTACTTATTTGGAGAATATAGCATTAGAAAAATTGATAGCCAAAAAAACTTTGAAGATGCAAATAGATGAATATAGAAGATAAGTTGGATAACAAATTCATACCAAAAAAAGTTTCATAAGATTTGACTAGTCCAAGCAGTATGCAAAATGCCAAACTTTACATATATATTATATATATACATACACTTATATATAATTATAGATTTGCACATATATGTGTGAGTGTGTGTGTATACATATATATGTGTGTGTATAGTGCTTATTTATCTAGCTGCACATAGCTAGATAAATAAATACTTTAAAAGCACTTACAATCAACTGGAAAAAACATAGGTAAACAATGTATAGAATAAATAGAAGGTATCTACATCCTCTTTGTAACAGTGAAAATCAAAGCATTAATAACATACTTTCAGGAATTCAAATATAAACTTATTAGGATAAAACATTTTTTGTTAATGTTTTACTGTGAAGAAAACTTTTTGAATCTTTTTCAAAGTTCAATTATGGTGTATGCTTGGCAATAGAGTAACAAAATATATGGTCCCTGTATCTTTCACAATATTTTGTGAAAGCAGAAACTTGCTTAGACAGGTGTCATAAGGACCAGATAAAAGCTGAAATTGCACTGTAAGAAATATATCCAAGGTGAATCCACTTTAGGTTCCTAGAAATATAGTGCACCAAGAAGATATGCACTCTTAGTTTTTTGACTTTTTAGAACTTTTTAGTTTTTATAGTTTCATTAATATCCAGAGTACGTAATAAAAACTGAATTTTGCATAACTGCTTTAACACTTTGTTTACAAAATGCTCACAAATATGACTTTAAACAAATGGATGTGTTTATGTGTTTTTATCTTAGAAGTAGAGACATCTGAAAACAAATTTCAAGTTTATGTATAATGAATCCTCTGATCTCTTAACCTTGACTAATAATCCATGTAATAGTTCATATCCCTGTAATCATAGTAATAAATTCTACATATTATCATTTAATTTTATTCTGGAAACTTAATTTAATTATAATAAGTTGGTTGTTTAAGAGAAGTGATGAAGGATAAAAAGATGGAAGTCAAATATTTAATAGCCTAGAGAGAAACTCTAAGTTGATAAATTT
This sequence comes from Homo sapiens, assembly GCF_000001405.40. Classification (NCBI taxonomy): domain Eukaryota; kingdom Metazoa; phylum Chordata; class Mammalia; order Primates; family Hominidae; genus Homo; species Homo sapiens. The sequence goes on along the minus strand of NC_000005.10, from coordinate 85,941,951 downwards.
AATAGCAATATAAACTAATCAAAGAAGGGCAACATATTTAAGATAATTAAGTAATCAGGATCTTAGGTCAATCATTCTCTTAGATTTAATTACTATCTTCGGGAAATTACCAGTTAACACAAGGACCTGCGGTCCTCTTAACTCAGAAATTCTTATGATACAATTTAAACTAATTATTTTTGTTGTAGATTGGCAAAAATATACCAAACTCTAAATTTGTGTGTTTGTGTTTCTGCTGTTGTGTATATGTGTGAATCTCTCTAAACCTCACATAAACTATTATTCTTCCTTTCTTATTCACAAAATAAATTTGTTATTGGTGTAGAGATCAGATAAATAATATTAATATTAGTCATCATGTACATGTATGTATGTTACATATGCACAAATATAATCGTTCTATGTAGATAACATGTATACACATATATACATGTGCACAAATATATATATATATAGAAACCCATATGGTTATATGGCTATATAGAAAACAATGTTATAGATGCCTTGATATTGTACAGAAAAAATAATTGTGCATTGGATTTACCCCACAACTCAGTAAAAAGTAGTCAACAGTTATTTGTGAATTTTAAATTAACATACTTCCATTCTCCAAGCTAAAATATTCCTACTTCTTTTTATTTAATTTTAAAAAGAATTGAGAGGTGGAAATTCTTAACAATTACCCTGAGTACCCTTTCATTTTACATTGCACTGCCCAGTATGGTAGTCATTAGGCACATCTGGCACTTGAAATGTGCCAAGTCAAATTGAGATATGCTGTAAGTGAAAATATAGGCTAGATTTCTAATATACAGCGCGAACAAAAAAGAATGTAATTAGTTCATTGTTATTTTATATTGAGTACATGTTAAAATATCTTAACATTGTATTGTATAAATTATTAAAATTAATTTCAATTGTTTCTTATTACATTTTTAAATATGGCTCCTAGAAAATTTAAAATTATATACGTGGCTCAGATTGGGGGATCACACTATATTTCCACTAATCAGCACTGCTCTAGATGGTCTACTTAATGTTAGAGAGTAGACAAGCAGTGGATATAAAATAAATTCGGTATAAAAAGTGTAAATGCAAATACAATTGTTTAATTAGCTGGCGAAAGAGTATGCTATTTCCAATATAGTATGTCCAATCACCTCCTTAAAAGTCAATATTCCTCATTCATTAATCAATAGTAAAATGTTATTTATAGTCCAGAGTTACTAAACATCAATTGGTAGACAAATGACATTGTTACTTAAAATAATTGTGTATCTTTTTACTTAGTTCTTAGAACATCAGCACCAAGGAGAAATGCGGGGTGTGGTAGACAAAATAATGACACCTGCCAAAGATGGCCATGTCCTAATTTCCAGAACCTGTGGATATGGTATGTTACATGACAAGGAAGAATTAAGGTTGCAGATGCAATTAAGTTAGCTGATTGCCTAACCAGTTTACCTGTTTACCTGGGTGGGCCAAATGTAATTAAAAGAGTTCTTAAAGTAAAAGAGGGAAGGAGAAGAGGAAAGAGAGATTTGAAGTTTCTGCAATTGAAAATGGAAGGTGGTGTCTAAAGCCAAGGAATGCAAGTGGTCACTAAATGCTGAAAAAGGCAAGAAAAGGTTTTCCCTAGTGCCTCCAGAAGGAATGCAGCCCTGCTGACACCTTGATTTCAGTTCATTGAGACACATTTCTAACTTTGGATCTTCAGCAGTGTAAAATAATAAGGTGTGTTATTTTAAGGAACAAAATTTGTAGTCATTTGCTACAGCAGTAATTAATATAAAACTGTTTCCTATTAGAATAGGAAAATAGAGACCACAGGATTATCATATTGATTCTTTGGTGTCAAAGTAAGATGGTGTATTGACCATTAATTATCATTTGCATTTCTGTTAGGGAGCTGAATCATGTGATTCTATGAATTACTATCAATATGTGAGTGTAACATCATAGGAGAAACTACTCACAAACTCATTAAGCTGGAGAGAGAAAGCAGAGATGTAGTGTTGACTACATTAACCATAGAACTGTCAGAGTTCTATGGTTCATTAACCATAGAGTTCATTAACCATTGAATTATCAACTGTTTAGAACTTCCGCTCATTGCACTGAGAGTATGAGTTCATACTGATGCAGTAGAAGGGATAGATCCTCATTGCCTAAAAGTCCAACAAAGATGGCAAGATTTGATAAAATTCAGCAAGAGTTTTTATCACTGACTGTGTGTAGATAACACTATGAAGGGATAAAATCCTGGAGAGACAAGAGAGTAAAACTTTAAACAAAAAATGCATAATTCCAGATATTTATTTATGAAGGCCAAAATATGTGTCATAATTAATGTCAATAGGTCTTCATAGGATTACAATATTATCGTAGGCTGGGCACATTAAAGCAGAATTTATTGGAGGGAAATGGTCCTATGAGGAGCCTTGAAATATAATTGGCTTTATATTGATGTAAGTCATGCATGGATTTTCCTTTAAGTTTTGTTCCCCAGAAGCAGACTATGAGAGAGGATTTAAGTGAAATAGGTTTATTTGAGAGGTAATGGGGGAAGGAAGAGCAGAAACGTGACAGAGAAGGGGACTCCAAAGATGCTTTATTGAGAAGATTACTGATATGGGTGACTGGATTTTAATCCTGTAAGGGAATTATGGAAAATATTTAGAAAATGTCTCAGAGAGAATGAAGCAAGCTGGGGTGCTTATCAAATTGCTCATTCTATAACTTCTCTAGAGCTGTTTTGGATGAATTAACTCCCCCAGAATATTACACTTGCACTGCTTGCAAGCTGAGAAAATTTCCATAGCCAGAAAAAGCCATCAAAGGGTTTCTTTCTTTTTTTTTTTTTTTAGATGGAGTCTCATTCTGTCACCCAGGCTGGAGTGCTCAGTGAAACCTCGGCCCCCATCCCCCCACCCCCCAACCCGGTTCCAGCAATTCTCCCTCCTCAGCTTCCTGAGTATCTGGGATTACAGGCATGAGCGACCATGGCCGGCTTATTTTTGTATTTTTAGTAGAGATGGGGTTTCACCATGCTGGCCAGGCTGTTCTCAAACTCCCAAACTCAGATGATCCACCCTCCTCGGCCTCCCAAAGTCCTGGGATTACAGGCATGAGCCAGTGTGCCCGGCCTCAAAGGGTTTCTTATGCTCACACTAGGAAGCTATCAGTCAGAATATATGTACAAATGCCAAGTAGACATGGGCAGAAGTGGCATCATTAACATCTACTGTATCATAGTTAACCATCCACTCATGTTCATTCTTCACTGCCATTGGTTCTTTAAAGTAATGCTGTGTCACAACTTTTTAAAAGAGAAAATAACTTCCAACAAGAAAGTTAGTGGAATGAGCCAGAATATTCATTGATGCAGTGCTCAAGGCCCTAATATTTATCTGCCTTCTCTAACACTCATTCCAGACTATCCTTTTTAGGTTATCTCTTATGCTGGTGCAGGTATTTGCCCCGTGGGGCAACTAGGCCTTCATTCCTGGGAAGAATATGAACTCTTATTTTTTGTGCCCTTACGAGCCTGTGGTTGCTGCAATTGCCCATTCATACTTAACACCTCAATCACCGGTAATACAAAAAGAGCCTAGCTTTGGCATCTGCTCCAGCAGACAGATATCTTGCTGATTGAGAGCCAAGCATGTTAGGCCCATGCAGATCCTATATTCTTCCAACAGATTCCTCCACCATGAGTCCATCATGACAGCATTGGTGTGACAGAAACAGAGGATGCTTAAAATCCACTGGACAAATCATTCATTCCTCTTTGATTAGTATTTTTTATCTAGAGGGTGCATTTTGGTGGACTTTTATGTGAGAGACGAAGACTCACACACTTTGTACTCACTCTCATGTGCCAATTCATATGCCCCTTCTCAGACCACCTTATAGACCATTTTCTATCTTCAATCAATACTTGCCAGGATTTTATGTATATTCCTACATAAGGCCACTTTTCTCTCCACATAAAATTAATAGCTAGGTATACTGCTTGAAGAAGTGTCCACTGGAAGGATAATCTTTATCCATTGTCTTCCAAGACTACCCATGTTTTGTGGTAGCCCTCAACACCTGCTTTATTAACATATTGACCTGATTCATCTGTGAACAAGGCCCTGATACTTTCCCCTTCTGTCAACTGACCATAGAAACTATTCCCACTCATCAAAGCTATAGATGGGCACTTAGGAAAACATGTCAGATCACTGCAATAGAAGTAATGACAAATGACAAAAGAATTGTCTTAGTCTGTGTGGGTAGCTACAACAAAATGCCTTAGACTGGGTAATTTATGAACAATAGAAATATATTTATCAGAGCTCTGGAGGCTGGGAAGTCCAAGATCAAGACACCAGTAGATTCAGTTTCTGCTAAGGACCTGTTCTTTGCTCTATAAATGGTGCCTTTTTTGCTACCCATTTACATGGTGGAAAGACAAGGCAGTTCCCTTCTATCTCTTTCATAAGGGCACTAATCCTATTTGTGAAGCCTCTGCCTTCATGACTTAATCACTTCCCAAAAAGTCCCATCTCTTAATTTTCTTAGAGTCAAGCATGAACTTTGGAAAGATGCTCAGCCCTGGTCACAGAGAAACTTGATGTACCAGAGTCAGACTTTTCAATATTTCTTGAGCTTCCTAGTGCCTTGAGCTGGATTGTCCTATTATAAATTGCTGGAGACGCAGCATAGCATCTTTATCCCCACAGATGACTTCAGAACCATGGAATCTTATGTTGTACATAGTTCAAATAACAAGACAATTTATACTACAAACTAAACTTTCTCTAGGATGTTGCTCTTTTTAGACTTCCAAGACACTTGGCAAATGGATTGAGAAGTATTCCCAAGTGAATGAAGTGCAGCTCCAAAATCTGTAGAGGTTTTCCAGGCATTATGCCACTATTTTAAGTGGAGATGGTGTAGGATGTCATGACTTATGTTTTATCTTGCATGTGATATTTCTATATGTCTCCAGATATTGGATATGTGAAAACTTCATCAATAATGCAGGTCTCTGAATCCTTACAAGTTTTAATCTCCCACTTCTGACATGCATGTATTTTATCAGGGAGTCCAAAACATTTACCGTTTATTGCCCATCAATTCTAAGTAACATCTTATTGTTAATAGAACTGACTAGTTTGATGATCTTCGGAATATCTACATGTTCAAGGCTCCTTTGGACAATACTGACAGGAGATTATTGTAGCCTACAGAGAAGACTGCAAATGTGTACCATGGTCTGTTGAGTGTGAATTGCTTTTGATTCTCCTTTACCCATATTATAAAGAACATATTTTATCTCAATACCTGCATACTAATGTCTAGATGCTGTGTTAAGTTATTACAGTAAATATACCACATCTGGTAAAGCAGCTGTTATTAGAACTAACATTTGGTGAACTTTACAACAATCCATTGTTCTTCACAACGATCCACCTGGTTTTTGCAATATCTATATTGGCACTTGCATACTTTGTCATTAAGGAGTGCACTAATCCCTGTCTTTCTCTCCAGAATATTGTCTTGCTTTTGATATACTCTTTCGGCTAAATTTCAGTTTGAGAAAAATATCAGGGGCTTCTGCATTACCTTTTTTACCATAATGAATATTTTTTCTCAGGTTAAGGAAATAATATGATGGGTTTCTCTGTTGCTAAGTATATTCTTTTCAATTAAACATTAGGTAACTATGAAAACAATAATGATATGTTTCCATGGACACAATGAAACTGCTGTGAGATACAATTCAATCAGGTTTTTGTTTATCATCTGAACCTCATATATCTTATTCTAACAAGGAATCTATGATAGCATTTTGAATTTTTAGGTATTATTATCTTTTGACTCTACATGCACAATGACTTTTTTTTTAAATTTCCTGCAATGTACAGTTACTTTGATAAATGGCTATAGAACCTTTTGGAAAATAATTTAAAGAATAGATGTTGTATATTCTTTTGCTGACATGTTGAAAGGACTATTTGGAAGGGGATTAGTCTCATTTCCTTCTTTTCCAGTTTCTGGACTATAGGCCTGAGAGCTGGTTCAAGTTTGAAAACTCATATCTGCATTGCAGTGGTTTTCCATTATAATGGCTGAAATCTTCTTTTAGCTGTTTGCTGTTGATTTTGTTGTTGTTGTTGTTGTTGTTATCTATAGCAAGTAATAACCATATTCATTGGCCATCCATTTTGCTTCTAAGGACTCTATGATCTATTAGCCATCCACAAAATGTGAGGGCCCCTTGTTAGCTTTCTGAACTTTCTGTCTCTCACGGCAATCATGTCCATTTTGTTTCTGGCAGTTAGCTCCACCACCAACTTCAGTTCTTCTGGAATTCTGCTCCTTTATCACTAGGAAGTGAAGTTCCATATCACATATCCTACCATCAATTCTATCTCTAGAAGAAAGCCATCATAGAGCTTTTCCTTAACCCTAGTAGAACCTTCATTGCTTCAGACCTTTCTAGGGAATACAGTCAGCTGATAAGTCCTTTAGTCTTGCATAGTAAATCCCAATACTATAGTAACCATAGTAAATCCAATATTATATGACCCCGTGCTATAGTTTGAATGTTTGCCTCCTCCAAAACTCATGTTTAAGCTCAATCCCCAACGTGGCACTATTGAGAGGTGGGGACTTTCAGAGGTGATTGAGGGCTTTGCCCTCATGGAAAGATTAATCCATTAAATAATCAATGGTTTAATGGATTAATGGTTGTCACCAAGTGAGAGTGGTGGATTTAGGAGAAGAGAAACAGACATCTGAGATGATAGCATGCTTAGCACCCTTGCCATTTAATGCTCTGCCCTGCCTCAGAACTCTACAGGCTGTCCCTGTCAGCAAGAAAACCTTCACATGATGAAACTTCTTGACTTTGAATCTCTCAGCCTCCATAACTTTAAGAAATATTTTTTTCCCTTTGCAAATTACCCATTTTTAAGTGTTATGTTATATGCAAAAGAAAATGGATTAAGACACTACCTCTCAGGATCTTTTGAACACTGCTTTTGCCAAAGCAATTCCAACGCATCTACCTCCTTTACAAAAAACCATTGCTGCTTCCAAGCTCTAAGGAGGCATCCTAATAGAATATTCAAGATAGCTCCAGGTATTCTTGTTAGGGTATTGAATACTAAATTATGGAATACTCCCCTGAATTAAGAAATTATCATGCATACTGCTTATATTCTTTTCCCCCTCCCAGGTTCATTCTCAAGTATATTTCTGCATGTCTTCTGGGAATGTCCCAGTATGTAATAGGTATGTGTTGATTTTTTTTATTGAATAAATTTTATTTTCCCAAGTAGAGATAATATTCTTCCTTTCGGACCTTGCTGAATCTCAAATCTAATTATTGTCCTAGAAATAATGAGTGAAAGTGGTAGCATATGTTAAGAACACCAAGAATCATCTGTATAGTCCTTGCCTCAAGTGAAGTGTTTGCATCGTTTCCAGGCAAAGGGAGGTGAATTTCTCTAGTAAAGGAAAAATGGGGGAACATTTCTTTTAGAATGGATATTAAAAGATTCAATTATCTCAAACATATTTACTAAAATATTATCATCCTAGATCTTAAATTCCACTCCTTTCTTATCAGGACACTGACTTTATAATAAGAGATTTACCAAGGCTACACTTCCAGATTCGTCATAGCTTCACCACTCCTACAAAGAGATCATGAGCCTGTTTTTTCATCTTAGTCCACATTCTTCATGTAAGAAATAAAAATTTATTTAAATGCTGTCCTGGTGTCTTTCTGACTTTTATACCATTACCTGAATTGATAATTCGCCGACCCGATACTGTTATTTTCTTCCATTAAGACTTCCATGGCAGAGACTTGTAGCCAACTCACTTCATTAACTCATTCTAACCAATGCTGTTACATTTTTCAACTGCTAAAAATACCATATAAATCACAGAATTTCATTCTTTCTAGACCCCAGTCATTTTTACTACAAATGAGACTCTTAGTAGTTGTGATGTTATAATACGAAAAGGATTATCATCCTTCTACTTATTAATAGCGGTGGGTAATGCCTTAGTTCATCCAGGTTGCTATAACAAAATGACACAGACCGGGTGGCTAATAAACAACAGAAATTTATTTATCCCAGTTCTGGGGCTGGAATGTCCAAGATTGAGGTGGCAATAAATGTAGTACCCAGCGAGGGTCCATTTCTTCACAGAAAGCCTTTAATCTTTATTTTTTTATAGCTTTACATTCACATGGTGAAAGAGATGAGGGATCTCTCTTGGGCCTCTTTTATAAGGACACTGATTTAGTTCATCCCAGCTACTATAACAAAATGCCTGAGGCAGGGTAACTGATAAAGAACACGTATTTATTTTCTCACCATTCTGGAGGCTGGACTGTCTAAGATCATGGCATTAGAAGACTGTGTGATGTGTGATGCTTTCTGCTCCCAAGATGAAGCCTTTAGCTGTGTCCTCACATGGTGGAAGGAGTACGTGGCTCCCTTCTACCTCTTTCACAAGGGTGCTCATTGCTTCCTCAAGGTCCCACATCTTCATGCTATCAGATTGGCAATTAAGTTTTAACATTTGAATTTGGGGGGAAAACATGCAGACCATAACTGGCACTAATCCCATTTATGGAGGGCTCTGTGCCTTTGTGACCTAATCTTCTCCTAAAGGTCCCACCTTCTAACATCATCATCTTCAGGGTGAGTATTTCAACATAAACATTTAGACTATAGCAATTATTATTGCCCTCTGTTCAGTGAATGGACAGTTGCAGAATATCATAACAAATGCCTAATTCCTTGAACCATTTCCAAATACAAAATGGCTTTGATTGAATTCTTCAAAAGGCAGGCTCTGAGAAAGAATTTGAGTACAAGTAATTTCTTTGGTAGGTGATCTCAAAAATAGCAGGCAGTTAAGCCAATAAAAGGTGTATTACTGGGTAGAACACTTCTGTGAGTAATTAAATCTTCTTCCTGCTGCTATATTGTAAAAGACATTGAAGAATACACCACCGAAATGCTGCAAGTAAGAATATAAAAGCTGAGATATTTATCCATTCATCATTAGTTGAAAGTTGCTTCTTGGTGTACTAACTTCCCAGAATATCCTTGTCCTTGTTTCTATGGAATGAGCTTAGCATGTGCCCTTACCCAAAAAAGAAAGTCCCCAGTCAATAATTTGCGGGCATTTTCCTTATGTAGAAATCAACTTAAAGGCATACGGAAAAGGCATCAATAACGTAAGGCTCAGGGTCAAGGGAAGAAATGATGGTTATATGTTGGCTAAAGTTAAGGGCTTCTCTTTGTGAGTGCTGAAATATTTGTTTGGATAGGTAGGGTGATGAGAAAATTTGTAGTTTTAGGCTTCAAACTTTATGCTAGTAAGAGGGTATTACTATTTTTAAGCAAGAAAGACAATAAAATTAATAGTAGGGATATTTATTTCTAGATGATGTGCTGAATGGTCTGGGTGGGGTAATGAGTGTTGAGGAGCAGATATATTAATGAAGAAGTTAATACAATAAACCACTTTAAATGTGTCCAGGCATTTTATTTTAGGTAATTTATACCCCAATAAAAAAGTTTTAAAAATATCAACAGATTCAACATATAACTTATTTTCTGAATATGTTTGAAATTCTGGATGATTGAATACTTCATGTGGTAAATTAGTGAGAAACTAGTTAGAATAACATAAAATTAGACTTAATCGAATTTAATTCAAAGTCATATAATTTTAGAACTAGAAACAAACTGGAAATTCTCTTAACTGAACCTCTCATTTTAGAAGTGTGAAAATAGTGTAACAAAAATATAGTTTATACCAAATAATACATTTGCAGAGTAACAACATTGTTTTTCTCCCCCAGAAACTGTAAATGTTTTCCCACCTATTGTTCAGCTCCATAGTGATAGACATTATGGTAAAATCCAGGAAACGGAAAATGGAAAATTCATGTCACGTTTTCATTAAAAATATTATCTTTTGAATAAAACTAAAAGATATAGCATTCTAAACTTAGAGAACAATATATAAAATATACTAATGGTCTTTGCACTGAACACCCTTTACAAATGAATAATAATACAGAGGGAAAATATTAACTTTGACAATAAAATGTAAACATAAAGTTAATAAAATTTGGAAGGTAGATAGCAGGATAAAGGTGAATCAAGTGATACTGGCTATGGGAAAACTATTAACCAATAGGCATTAACGATGTCACCTGTTTTACACAGGTAACCTATATATAGGGGAAATATAGCTGGGAGATGGTAAAAGTAATTGAAATCTTCATCTAGTGTAGCAAAAGTAAAATAAGATTTAAAATTGATCAGCCCAATACTAAGCGTCTGACAATTTTATTGAGAGATGTTGATTAAAAAAAAAAACAGACAAGTAAAAATGTTAGTGTAAGGTAGGATCCTGTAGATTTTATGTGCCTCACTATGTGGCATTATTTTCTAGTTAGGTGAGTCACACAATTTCTGTGGTCTTTTATTTTCTCATCTTGCGGTTTTAAGTGGGATGAGCTCAAAAGTCCCTGTCAATATTTCAAAGCTACGTTTTCATAACAGCCTTTGATGCCTCTATGAGATTCCTCTTTTATATCTTCCTAGATACCAGGGACTGATTTAGCTGTCTGAATTGTAGTTACAGAAAAAATATTTAATCCAAAGTGTCCTCTAATAAGATAGGCTTAGGTATGTGGTGACTATGAGTCTTTCCAGCTCTAAGTTTACCTTGGCATACATCCAGAAACTCCGGACATGAGGGGTAAGAACAGAAGTAGGAATCTAGGGGTCACCTGAATTCTAAGGGGTGAAGCTGTAAGGAAGAAAATGATCTCAAGGAAAAGAGAAACTTGCCCCAATATCCTGGCCTTTCTTACATTATAGAAAGCAGAGAGGTGCTTTGCTCACAATTAATCTCCTTCCCAGGTGAATTAATATTTTTTATGATAACAGCTCCTATTGCCCAATATTTGTCTAAAGGTCTTCCTGGAAGCTCATTAGGTATATGTATAGCATCATAGCTCTCACGTCTTGTCAGATATTGGAAGTTAGTCCCAAGGGTTTACTCTCCTGTTGCTCTGGCATTTTCCTCAGGCATTTATGTGTCCAAAAGGAGTAGTAACTTTCAGCAGTAACCTTGAAATTAATGTTTCATTCAAATCGCTCCAAATTGAAGGTTCGTGACTTTTACTCTCGGTATGTTTTTATTCTTTATGGAGATTGCAAAATAAGTAACATTTTAAGTAATCATATCTTATTTATCTTTCTATACCCATTGCATAAGCACAGCCTAACAAATACCATATATCACATATATACATATATATACACTAACAAATTCCATATGTCACATACACAGACACACACACACACACACATATATATATATGTATGTATTTACTAAATTTTCATGGGTAGGCTGAAGCCATATTTTTTCTATACATTTTGTCAAATTTTCTAAAAGCCTGTGTACCTTCTGCTGCCATGCATTTCTGGAATAATAGTTACTAAGATAATGGTTATTATTGCTATTTTGCAAAATCAGTAAACTCTCATGTAAGTGGAAAAATGTAATGTAACTTCAAATTCAAAATTTGAATGTCACTGACTATGTATTAAGCAATGCCTGCATCAAGAATTAGGTGTTAATTTACTGAAGAATTGTATGAATAAACTGCTTTTTAGTTAGCTGAAAATACAAAATTAATTAACTATATTCTCTCTTCTTAAACAAGCTTATACTGAATTTTACCTGTGCTGATTTTGGAATAGTAGCTTCTTTGAAAAATATGTCATAAACTTTTGCCTAAATAGGTTTCAAAATCAATAACAGTATTTCAGCCATGTGACACCACACATTTTTAAGAAAATGATACATTATTAAATATAACTTAAACATTATCCAATAAACTGAGTGATCTTCAAGACTTGAGCAAAATAATAATAATAATAATAATAATAATAATGACTAATCCCACACTTAAAATTTTATTCCATTAAAAAATAAGTTTATATAAGATACAATTTTTCAGATTATTTTAATTTTATTTATTTATTTTTTTAGACATGATCTCACTCTGTCGCACAGGCTGGAGTACAGTGGAGCCATCTTGGTTCACTTTAACCTCCATCTCCTGAATTCAAGCGATTCTGCAGCCTCAGCCTTCCAAGTAGCTGGAACCACAGGTGGGCACCACCATATCTGGCTGATTTTTGTATTTTGTTTTAGAGGTGAGGTTTCCCCATGTTGCTCAGGCTGGTCTGGAATTCCTGAGCTCAAAGCGATCCATTCGCCTTGGCCTCTCAAAGTGCTGGGATTACAGGCATGAGCCACCACGCCCTGCCATAATTGTTTGTTTTTTTTTTTAGTTGAAACATTCTCTACTCAAAGAAACGGTTTTGATTTGGTGTATAGGTTATTTTTCCATTTCACCTTTGAATACCTTATAGAAGCTAAGTTCATGGATATCACCTCAATAAAACCTTTGAACCCACAGACATTTTTCTGTGCAAATGAGTTTGCAGATGCATGACCAGAAACTCTTGCCTATACCAAATACAAATCTAATCTCAATACAAATGGTACGTGAGGACATTATGTGCACAAGCTTCTCATTATTTAAAGCACAATTTCTTTGCCCTGTGGGTCTTTTGACATACAGTATTTGATTGGAGGTACTATTCTCATTCATCTTTATATATGCAACTCACTGAAGCAGTGAGCAGAGGGCTTGACTGTTCTCATTTGATGGTGGTAAAATATATTCATTTTACCTATGATGAATAACTTTTCTTTTTGTTATGGATTCGTTATGGCTATGTCTTTTTGGCCATAGGCACACACCATCGTGGTAATTAAATGCAAATTTAGATCTCTGTAAACACTAATAATGTTATGCTAGGTAGAGGTAAAATAACAGGAAATAAAGAGGGCAGATGATCTTGTACTGGCATAACCAGAGAAGATCCAAAAGTTACTACTAGGTTAAACTAAAAGAAAGACAGACTTTAGATATTATTGGCTTAAACAAAATCAAAATTTTCTTCTCTTTCTTGTAAAAACGTGGGGGTTCTATCCTCAAGTCTAAATGACAGACAGGTCTGTTACACAAAATTTTCAGGTTTCAGATTCCAAGATTCTGCTCATAAATATCAAGGGTATGCCTCTCATTCTCAAATGGTATCTAAGTTATATGGTCAACTGTAACATACGAATCCCTGGGGAAATGGTGGAGGGGCATAAAGGGTCAAAGAATTCATATAAGCCATCTTACAAGAAAATTTCTCAGAAGGTTCTATATTAATTATTTTAAGAAAATTATATTAACTAGAACTATATCAAATAACCTAGTCATGGGGCGGGGTGGGGGGGGGAACAGAAAATGTAGTTTTATCTGTGTAGAAATGTATGTTGGCTCACAGTTCTATAAACTAGAAGCCCAGATAGAATTACCTGTGTTGTATGCTTGGGGACTCACTAGGCTGAAATCAGAATGTTGAGATAAAATCAGCTGGACTCTTTCTTATCTGATGGCTCTGGGAAAGACACCACCTCTAAGCTCATTCATGTTGTTACCAGAATTCACTTCCTCTTGGTGATAGGACAGAGATTCCTATTTCCTTGCCGTTGCCTGCAGATACCACTTTCTGCTCCTTTAAGGCCACTTGCATTTCTTCTTGTGCAGCACCCTCCATCTTCAAACTAGAAATGATGTCACAAGTCTTCTCACTTTTCAAATCTCTCTGATTTCCTCTTCTGTTAACATCCAATAAAATCTCTCTACTTTTAAGGGAGCACATTATCATATTAGGCCCATTGTATACTTTCCATATCTTAAGGTCAACTGTGCCATATAACTTAACACAATCATGGAGTATTGCCCATTCATCCTCAACTCTGGCACTAAGTACCCTGTCAGCTTTAGCTTTATTTGAAGAATTAACCTTCTCCTATCTTAGTTGGTATTTAGGAAGACACCTGGAGAACACATTGGAGACTGCTAGCCAGGTATTCTTTAAAACTGGGAATCTGAATCATTTCGCAATGCCATTAGAATAAATACCATGAATCACCAGTTTGAACATATTTAATAGTACTTTGTAAGAGACCGCCGTAATAAATATAATACAAACCACACCAAGGGATATCATTGTGAAACTTTAGAGAAGTACAAATATAAAGAAGAACTTAAAGGCATCTAGAAAGCAAAAAAAAAAAAAAAAAAAAAACAGAAGAATGAAAGAACGAGGGATGAAGGTAAGGAGGGAGGGAGGAAACAAAAAACTGTTCTACCACAATGATTTAAAATACACTGGACTTTTCAACAGTGCCTGATACTACTTGACATTTACTGTCAATGTTTTGAGTGAAATTAATTTTTAATGTAGAATTTCATACCTACTCAAATAACCACACAGCAAAGATACTTTCAGATATACTAAGATTCTGATAATCTATGTTCCTCGTATGTCTTCCTTAGAAGCAATTTGAGAATGTTTTTCAGCAATATAACTGAATTTATCAAAAGGAGAAGAAATCATGATTTATAAAACAGCGACTTTGATCCAGGATGGCAGTAAAGAGAAACATCAGGACAAAAGATGGACTTCAGGTCAAAGAAGTAAGGAGTCTCAGCACAGAAAGGATGAAAAGGTCCAGGAAGTGGGCCTCCAAGAAAAAAATGTGCATTTAATAGATAGCCCAATATTATTTAACTGTTGACAAATATAATATTTTTTAAAAGTTATAGCTAGAAGAAAAAAACAGAAATGGGAAACAATACTGTAACTATAGTATAATTGTATTCCTTTGGGTGTATAGGCAATAATGGGATTACGGGGTTGACTGGTAATTCTGTTTTAAGTTTTTTGAGAAATCCCAACACTGATTTCTACAATGGTTGAACCGATTTACATTCTCACCAACAGTGTGTAAGTGTTCCCTGTCCTCTGCAACTTCACCAGAATCTGTTATTTTTTGACCTTTTAATAATAGCCATCCTGGTTGGTGTGAGATGGTATCTCATTTGGGTTTTGGTTTGCATTTCTCTAATGATCAGTGATATTGAGCATTTTTTCCTATGCTTGTTGGCCATGTATATGTATGATTTTGAAAAGTATCTGTCCATGTCTTTTACCCAGTATTTAATTAGGTTGTTTTTTTCTTGTGAATTTGTTTGTTCCTTATAGATGCTGGGTTTTAGACCTTGTTCGGGTACATCATTTGCAAATACTTTCTTCTATTCTGTGGGTTGTCTGCTTACTCTGTTGATAATTTCTTTTGCTGTGCATAAGCTCTTTAGTTTAATTGGCCTCATTTGTCAATATTTATTTTTGTCACAATTGCTTTTGGTGTCTTTGTCATGAAATCTTTGCCTGGTCTTATGCCCATAATATATTTTCTATGTTATTTTTCAGCATTTTTATAGTTTTAGGTTTTACATTTAAGTCTTCAATTTGTCTTTTTTTTTTAGAAACTGAAAACTTTGCAAATGTTTATCGATTAAGTTGGTCAAATTTACATTGTGGTCTAGGTCATCAGCCAAGTAGATAACACACATAGAAAAGTTCTATTAACAATCATAACAAAATAATGATTAACAGATTTCCCATATCCAATATGAGCAATCCATCTTGAGTTGATTTTTATATATAGTGTAAGGAAGGGGTACAGTTTCAATCATCTGCATATGGCTAGCCAGTTATCCCAGCACCATTTATTGAATAAGGAGTCCTCATTGCCTGTTTTTGTCAATTTTGTTGAAGGTCACAAGGTTGTAGGTGTGTGGCATTACTTCTGGACTCTATATTCTGTTCTATTGGTTTATGTGTCTGTTTTTGTACTAGTGCCATGCTGTTTTGGTTACTGTAGCCTTGTAGTATAGTTTGAAGTCAGGTAACATGAAGCTTCCAGCTTTGTTCTTTTTGCTTATAATTGCTTTGACTATTTAGCCTTTTTTTTGTGTCATATGACTTTTAAAAGGTTTTTTTTTTCTAATTTTGTGAAAAATGCCATCGGTAGTTTGATAAGAATATCAATGAATCTGTAAATTGCTTTGGACAATATGGCCTTTTTAACGATATTGATTCTTCCTATCTATGAGCATGGAATGTTTTTCCCATTTGTTTGTGTTGCCTCTGATTTCCTTGAGCAGTTTTTGTAGTTCTCATTATAGATCTTTTACCTCCCAGATTAGCTGTATTCCTAGGTATTTAATTATTTTTTGTGGCTATTGTGGATGGAATTACATTCTTGATTTGGCTGTCAGTTTGGATGTTGTTGTATAGGAATGCTACTGATTTTTTTATGTTAATTTTCTATCCTGAAATTTTGCTGAAGTAGTTTGTTAGATGAAGGAACTTTTGGGCAGCGATGATGGTGTTTTCTAGGTATAGAATCATATTGTCTGCAAACAGGGATAGATTGACATTCTCTCTTCCTATTTGGGTGCCTTTTATTTCTTTCTGTTGCCTGGTTGCTCTGTCCAGAAGTAACAGTACTATTACACGTGGAATAGGAACGGTGATAGAGGGCATCCTTTTCTTGTTCCAGTTTTCAAGAGGAATGCTTCCAGCTTTGCCCATTCAGTGTAATGTCAGCTGTGGGTTTTTCATATATGGTTCTTATTATTTTGAAGTAAGTTTCTTTGATGTGTAGTTTGTTGAGATTTTTTCACGTGAAAGTATGTTGAATTTTATCAAAAGCCTTTTCTGCACCTATTGAGATAGTCATGTGGTCTTTGTCTTTAGTTCTGTTTATGTGATGAATGTTTATGTTGAATGAAAGCATGCATCCCAGGAATAAAGCCTACTTGATTGTGGTGGATTAGCTTTTTGATGTGCTGCTGGATTTGGCTTGCTATTATTTTGTTGAAGATTTTTGCATCTATGTTCATGAAAGATATTGGCTTAAGTTTTTATTTATTTATTTATTTATTTATTTATTTATTTATTTATTAATTAGATGGAGTCTCACTCTGTCGCCCAGGCTGGAGTGCAGTGGGGAGACCTCTGCTCACTGCAAGCTCCACCTCCCGGGTTCACGCCATTCTCCTGCCTCAGCCTCTCAAGTAGCTGGGACTACAGGCACCCACCACCACGCCTGGCTATTTTTTTTTTTTTTTTTTTTTGTATTTTTTAGTAGAGACAGGGTTTCACTGTGTTAGCCAGAATGGTCTTGATCTGCTGACCTCGTGATCCACCTGCCTCAGCCTCCCAAAGTGCTGGGATTACAGGCGTGAGCCACTGTGCCCCGGCCAGTTTTATTTTTTTGTTGCGTCTCCACCAGGTTTTGGAGTCAGGATGATGTGGGCCTCACATTGAAGTTAGGGAGGAGTCCCTCTTTCTCAGTTTTTTGGAATAGTTTCCGTGGTAATGATACCAGCTCTTCTTGATACACCTGGTAGAATTTGGCTGTAAATCCATCTGGTCTTGGGCTTTTTTCGGTTTGAAGGCTATTTTTTTGCTGATTCAATTTCAAAGCTCATTATTGCTCTGTTCAGAGACTCAATTTCTTACCGGTTCAGTCTTGAGAAGGTGTATGTGTCCAGGATTTATTCGTTTATTCTAGAATTTCTAGTTTGTGTGCATGGAGGTGGTTATGGTAGTCTCTGAGTAGTTTTTATATTTCTGTGGAGTCAGTGGTAACATCCACTTTCTCATTTCTGGTTGTGTTTATTTGGCTGTTCCTCTCTTTTTTTATTTATTAGTCTACCTAGTGTTTTACCTATCTTAGTATTTCAAAGAACTAATTCCTGGACGCATTGATCTTTTGTACGTTGTTGTTGTTGTTGTTGTTTTTGCATCTCAACTTCCTTCAATTCATCCCTGAGTTTGGTTATTTTTGTGTTCTGCTTGATTTGGGGTTGGTTTGCTCTTGTTTCTCTGGGTCCCCTAGTTGTAATATTAGGTCTTTAAGTTGAGATCCTTCTAAATTTTCGATGTAGGCATTTAGT
This sequence comes from Homo sapiens, assembly GCF_000001405.40. Taxonomy (NCBI): domain Eukaryota; kingdom Metazoa; phylum Chordata; class Mammalia; order Primates; family Hominidae; genus Homo; species Homo sapiens. Next base: position 85,923,962 of record NC_000005.10, on the reverse strand, counting down.
GTTATGTACTTCCCCCCTTAGCACTGCCTTAGCTTTGTCCCAGGGATTCTGGTATGTTGTGTTCTTGTTCTCATCAGGTTCAAAGAGTTACTTGATTTCTGCCTTAATTTCATTATTTACTCAAAAGTAATTCAGGAGCAGGTTGTTTAATTTCCATGTAACTACATGGTTTTAAGTGAATTCTTAGTATTGATTCCTATTTTTATTGTGCTGTGGTCTGGGGGAGTGGTTGGTATGACTTCACATTTCTTGAATTTACTAGGAATTTTTTATGTTTGATTGTATAGTCGATTTTGGAATATGTGCCCTGTGGTCATAATAAGCATGTATATTATGTTGTTTTTGAATACAGAGTTCTGTAGATATCTATTAGTCCATCTGATCAAGTGTCGAGTTCAGGTCCTGAATATCTTTGTTAATTTTCTACATTGATGTTCTGTCTAATACTGTAAATGGGGTGCTGAAGTCTCTCACTATTACTCTGTGGAAATCTAAGTCTCTTTGTAGGTCTCTAAGAACTTTCTTTATGAATCTCAGTGCTCCTGTGATGGGAGGATATATATTTTGGATAATAGGTCTTCTTATTGAATTGAAACCTTTACCATTTTGTAGTACCCTTCTTTGTCTTTTTTGATCTTTGTTGGTTTAAAGTCTGTTTTGTCTGAAATTAGGATAGCAACTTCTGCTTTTTCTGTTTTCCATTAGTTTGGTAGATTTTCTCCATCTTTTTATTTTGAGCCTAGGGATGTGACTGCATATGAGATGGGTCTCTTAAAGGCAGTATAATATTGGATTTTGTGTTTTTACTCAGCTTGCCACTTTGTGCCTTTAATTGAGCCATTTAGCTCACTAAACATTCAAGATTAATATTGATATGTGCAGAGTTGATTCTGTCATTGTGTTGTTGGGTGGTTATTATGCAGACTCGTTTGTGTGGCTCCGTTATAGTGTCACTGGTCTGTGAACTTAAGTATGTTTTTGTAGTGGTAGGTAGTGGTCTTTCCATTCCATACTTAACATTCCTTTGAAAACCTCTTATAAGGCAGGTCTAATGGTAACAAATTCACCAGCATTTGTTTGGCTGAAAAATATATTATTCCTCCTTCCCCCGTGAAACTTAGTTTGGCCAGCTATGAAATTCTGGGTTGGAAAATCTTTTCTTTTAAGAATCCTGAATATAAGCCCTCAGTCGCTTCTGGCTTGTAGAGAGTAGAGATGCAGAACCTGTGCCTGCTAAAAGGTCTGCTGTTTGCATCATGGGATTCCCTTTGTAGGTGATCTGCCCATTCTTTCTAATTACCTTTAACATGTTTTCTTCCATTTCAACTTTGGAGAGTCTGAGGATTATATGTCTTGGCAATAGCCTTCTTGTGTACTATTTCTCAGGGGTTCTCTGAATTTCCTGCATTTGAATGTTGACCGGTCTAGAAAGGTTAGGGAAGTTTTCATGGATGATATCCTTACTTGTTTCCAAGTCACTTGCTTTCTCCTCATCTTTTTAGAGATGACAATGAGTCATAGATTTGGTCTTCTTACATAATCCCATATTTCTTGGAGGTTTTGTTCATTTCTTTTTATTCTTCTTTGTTTTTGTCTTACTGAGTTAGTTCAGACAGCCAGTCTTTGAGCTCTGAAATTTATTCCTCAGTTTTGTCTATTCTGTTGTTAATACTTGCGATTGCATTATGAAATTCTTGTAGTGTTTTTAGCTCTACCAGATCTGTGTAGTTATTTCTCATAATGTCCATTTTGTCTTTCAGCTCCTGTATCATCTTATTGTGGATACGGTTTTGGCTTTGTCCTTTATCTCAATGGTCTTTATTCTTATCCATATTCTGAATTCTATATCTGTCATTTCAGGGACTACAGCCAGTTAAGAATCCTTGCTAGGAAACTAGTGTGGTGTTTGGAAGAAAGAAGACACTCCAGCTTTCTGAGTTGCCAGAGTTCTTACACTGATTCTTTCCCATTTGTGTGGGCTGTTCCTTTAACTGAGGTGTAAATTGAGTACTGCCAGTAAACTTCTTTTCTGTATGTTTTCAGAGGACTAGGGATCTATGCATGGTATTTATTTGTAGCTGAATTCTTGTCCTTGGTTTCAAAATATATTAGCAAAATATTTCTGATGTTGAAGTTTGGGCTGTGAACCAGTAGATGGTGCAGATGAGTATTGGTCAGTACTAGACTTTTGCTTGGCCACGTGGCTCATTCGTATTGTCTCACAATTGCAGCCTTGCTCTTTCTCAGTGCTCTGAAAGGGTGGGCTCCTCTCCCACTTGAGTTCTGCTTGCAGATTTTGGCTTGGCACTCTTGGGCTGCCCACCACAGCTCCAGGGCAAGCTCAGACTTTATGTTCCCTCCCTATCTTGGAGGCAGCAAGGGAAGGGTCCTTGGCAGTGGTTGTGGCAAAGGGCCTTTTGCTTGGGACTCCACCCCAGAGAGATGTAGAGCCAGATCAATCAGTGTGATGGGTAGTGTGGCTGCACTGTGGGCCCAAATTGGGGTCCTTCCTGGTGATGAGTAGATGGAATGGTGGAGGTCATGAGGGAGACAAAATGGCCTCTTGTCCTTAGGGCAACTGCAGCTTGCTGGAGGTTTGCTTAAGGCACTCAGGGTCTTTGCTCGTTTTCAAGTCCAGTGGCACCAAGGATAATATCACAGCCTTGGAAGTGGCAGAGGGGCTTTCAATTGCTTCTGCGAGCTCCACCTCAGAGATGCACAGAGCCACTACTACTGGGAGTGTTCAGTAGGGGTGGGGTGGCTGCACTGTTGGACCGAGCTGGGGGCTCTTCTTGATGAAAAGTGGAGTGTGAAGGGCTCACAGGGAGGGAAGAGTGGGCTCCTCTCCTTAAGGCAACTGTGGCATGCTGGAAGCTCAGGTGATGCCCTAGGGCTCTTTGTATTTTCCCCAGACAGAGGGCAGCTGCAGCGGAACCACTGCCATGGCAGTGGCAGAGGGGCTGTCAGTTGCAGCAGGGAAGGGGCCCTGGGTTCCTCTGTGTATGGTGGCTGTAGTGTGGCAGAGGTGCCATCTTATTGACCAGACTCTTTGTTCCTTTCCCAGTCTGGTGGGGCTGTGGGTTTTCTCTTGGATTTCCTCCTTGGAGAAATGTAGAGCCTTCTCTGACTGAAGTATTCAGAGGGGTACATGGTAGTTGTGCTGGAGTCCCAGATTAAGAGGCCCTGCTCAGTCAGGAAAAGTGGGAACAGAAAATCACTTGGAAAATGGTCTGGCTGCTTTTCTGTAGGGTGGCTGCCCTGTGCTGGGCTCTGCACCAGTCCTTAATCACCATGCACCCTTCAGAGCCTGAGAGCTACAGCAGTGAGAGCTGTGAAACAGAAAAATTAGTGATCTGCCTCTCCCTTTGGGAATTCCATCCCAGAAAAGTGCAGAGCTGCTATTGGCCCAAGAGCCCAGGTGGGGCTGGGGTGGCCTTGCTAGCATCCCAAGGCCAGTGGACATTATCCTGTGAGGTGTGGTAGAAGTGAGGCCTGCAGTCCATTGGTGCTCAGCCCTATAGATTCAGCCCCTTTCTTGGGGTCTGTGAAGGAGCCTGACTTACCCCCTTGCCAGAGCAGCAGCTGCTAATGACAAGATGCCCAGGGATCCAACGCTCCTGGGACTCTGTGTAAGTCTGAGCAGCAGCTCTGCCCAGACCCCACATTGCTCTCCGTGTAATCAGGAGGCCCTTGTTGGAGGTCTCATGTGGAATCTCCTAAGCTCAGAGTTGCAAATGTTTGTGGCAGAAGTATGAGTCTTTGGAGAATCTCCCTTACTCACTGTTTCCCTGGGGTGAGGGAGCCTCCCCCATCTCCGTGACACTGCGGGTTGATGGTCATCCTGTCTCACTCTTCTCCCTTCTCTGTGGATCAGGTTGCTTTCTTGATGAATCCCCATGTGTCCACCTGAATGTTCCAGTGAAGAACAAGTATTTACTGACCATTCTTTCTCCTCTCCATGAGAATAGTGCACACTAGCTGCTTCTAGTCAAGCATCTCGGCCTCCCTCCCCTATTTATTACTCTTATGTGTGGCTATAATTTTCTTCATCCAATCAAATGTTCAGCCTCTATGCTACCAATTTATTTTTCTTAATTTTAACATTAAGTCAAAAATAACACTAATAAAAAGATATTCTTCCAAATAAAATTAGAAAATAATTATCTATATTTATTTAAACAAGTCTTTTTATTATGGATCACAAGGAAATATCAAATTTGCCCTACAATTTCATTTTTAAATGTAAGTGATATGGGAGCAGGGCAAGGAAGTGCTGGGTAGAGAAGGGCAGGGTCCCTGGCAAGGGCTCCACCCTGGGGTCTGTGACCATGAACCTAAGTGAGAACAGGCACTCCTTTTTCTTGCCCAAATGTTGCGTTTCCAAGAGCATTCCAGCCCACCACATCCCCCAACCTGTACCGATAAAAACCCCAAGACCCTAGCGGGCACACACATAGGTGTCTGGACATCAAGAGGAGTGGAAGAGTACACAGACAGGTACCAGCAGACATTGGCAGGCCATCAGGGGCAGAATGATGCAGACACCGAGGGGAATTCTGTCAGAGGAGAGTCTGGCCTCTGGGTGGCCTGACTCCAGGGAAAGAACACCTTCCCACTCCATTCCCCCTTCTGGCCTCCTCATCCACCTTGCTGAGAGCTACCACTATTCAATAAAAAGTCTTGCACTCGTCCCCCAAGACCACATGTGATAGGATTTTTCCAGTATACTAAGGCAAGAACCTAAGAAACAGAAAGCGCTCTCTCCATGCAATAAGACAGAGGGTCTAATTGAGTGATTGACACAAGCCCTGCAGATGGCAAAACTGAAAGAGCACACTTTAACACACGCCCACTGGGGTCTTGGGAGCCTTAAACATTCAACCTTAGACGCTGCTATGGGGTTGGAGCTAAAAAACGCTCCCCACGACCTCCTCCTCTGCATGCTACCCCTAGGGGTTTGAGCAGAGGGGCATCAAAGAAGCCAGCCACACCCTGTTGCTCGCCCTACAAGGGGATTAGGGGACTTTTCTCATTTCATAAGTTGTTTGATGTCTAATGACTACTCAAATATTTCTGTATTTGAATCTTTAAAATATTGTTCTGAATAATGAATATGCAGTAAACGCTCCCCTGAGCTAAGGTTTAGATATCAGGTAAAATAATCAATGATCTCTCCAAAGTGAATTAATTATTTCATATAACTGGCATTATATATACATGCATGTGTGTATACTCACACACACACACACACACACACATTTAATCTTCTGAGAGTAAAATAGTAATATTCTTATTGATTCTCTTCAAGATAATAAAAATTTAATAACTGTATAAATTCAAAATATGTATTACTTGATGTCTATAAAATACACATTTATAAATATATAATGCACAACTAACACAACTACAGAGAAAGAAACCATAACTTTTAAGTGAAATTTTCTTTTCATAAAACGCTGTTGAGAATATAAGCTATGATTAATGAAAGTTTGTCATTATAGAGTAATATTCAAACTTTTCGTGATTTGTAAAGGAACACTAAGAATAAAACTGGCTTTACTCTATGTAAACACAGGTTCTATCTTTTCCATCATAACAGTGAAAAAGAACATAATCTGGGAAATATGTTTTAAGATATAAACATCTATCATCAGGAAGTAACCCAAAACAATTCTTTTGGATGAATCACTGAATAGAGTCGAAAATCTAGATTGGCTAAGGGAGGAAAAAGTAAAATAGAAAGAAAAAGCAGCTCTGTCCTTGTGAGAGGTTCTATAGTTCACTACCACTATTCCCAAAGGATAGCCTCTATTATTTTAACATAGATAGATTATTGTACTGCTTTCCCCAAGACTGTTCATATCATCTACGGTAACCGTCAAGATCAATGGAAAATTCTAGAACATATGACATCTAAATACAATGGAAGCTATATTTCTGCTAGCTAATTATTTTACCATGTGTCATATTGTAATGTTCTTCACTCACAAATAGAATTATTTACTGGTAGGTGACAGATAAATGACAGAACTCTAAGAAGAAATATTTTAGTCTTGGTGCCTTCTGTTAATCATTTATTCATCAGATTACAGCATATGATAAAAAGTAAATGCATGTTTCCTTAAAACAACATTTGTGGATGTTAACATAGCTTTTAAACGATTAAGGAAAGTTATCAACATAGAGTAATTCTCAAACTTTTCCTTGTCTGTAAAGGAACACTAAGAATAAATATCTAGTTTTATTTGGCATAAATACGAGTTCTAGCTTTAAAACTTAATTTTAATAAAATACTTCTTTAATTAGATGTTTTTAAAAATTTAAAAAACATATCAGCATATGTATGCATAACATTTGCTATATAGTCAAAAGTGACCTTTTTAAAGACTATAAAATATAATATTCTATTTATAGCATTTTGACTTTATTGAACTTTTTATGGAACAAATCCTTAGAAATGGTTAGTTGAAATGCTTCTGCTATTAATAACTTACAAAACTAGATTATTAAAAATTCTCTGTCTTAATTTTTAAAGAGTAAGAAAAATGATCTGCTATATTAGGCCACTGTGTCATAAATAACATATATGTAATGATTGGGATTATATAGTAGGAGAATTCTGAGGTCTTGGCTTAATATCTATGTTAAATAATTGGTAAAATTAGTAGAAAATAGTGTGGTCTGTTTTAATTTTTTATTTTTCAAAACCATTATAAATCAAGTGTTATACATTAGTCTTCTGATCTTTTCACCAGTCTTTCTTTACATAAATTCATTCTCCAAACTGTTGCCTAGAGATTTAAGAAGTATTGTCTTACCTCTACTTTAAACTGTGAGCTCATTGATGAGAGACAAAATATTTTTAGTACCTGGCACACTAGCTAGTGTATAGTACATGTTTAAAACTTTTTAATTATATGTATAAAAGTTTAGTATGTCACACTAGAAGGAAGGACAAATAATAAGGAATGGTCATAAGAATGAGGAAAAAACTCTGGTTGGTATGCTTATATAAAGCTGAGCTTTTTAAATCTTATTCTATGGAGTTTTATCTACACTTAGTGTATATACTAATGGAAAATAATTTTGGACTTAAACATTTAATCCAGAATGACAACAAAGAAAATGGCAAAATAGAAAGCTCCAAGAACCAACATCTGCACTCCATCTAATTTAAGCAACTATTAGGCTGGAAAACAGTTAATCAGTTCTTTTGGGACTCTGGAAAAAAGGAAAACCTTAAAGCAACCAGATAGTGATAAATGAAGATAAAGTCTGCTATAATTTTAGTTAAAAAAGCATTGTGACTTTTTGCCTACCCATCTGCCCACCCCTATTCGCCAGCTTAGCATCAGTGGTGGAAATGGTAGTCTGTGTTTCTGGTGCAGCCTGCTGGTGCCTTGGGGTTGGAGGGTGGGGGTGGGGAGTGGAGGGTGCAATGTAAACTTTGTTCCCCCAAAATTTACATTTTAGGCAGGATATGGTGGCTCACCCCTGTAATCCCAGCACTTTGGGAGGCCTAGGCAGGTGGATACGTTGAGCCCAGGAGTTTGTGACCAGCCCAGAAAACATGGCAAAACCCTGTCTCTACTAAAAATACAAAACACTATCCAGGAGTGGTGGTGTATGACTGTCATTCCAGCTACTGAGGAGGCTAAGACGGGAGGATTGTTTGATCCTGGCAATTCGAGGTTGCAATGAATCAAGATCATGCCACTGTACTCTAGCCTGGGCAATGGGAGTTGGACCCTGTCTCAAAAAAAAAAAAAAAAAAAAAAAAAACGAGGAAAAAAAATAGGTTTCACATTTTTACCGGTTTGGTAATTTCAGAGGAATCAGCACAGAGGCTTATCTTTATTTTCTTTCCCAGAGTCTGCAGTAGATTCCTGAACAGATTTGTTGATAGGATTTAAAGACATATACTACCTGTAGTCACCTAGGACAAGAGATGGTGGGCATGGCAGGGGGAAAACAGACAGAAAATCCTGGAAAAGTATGCTAAGGAGAAAGATAATAAGGAAACGAGGGCTTAGAAGAGATACTTCGTGTACTGGCAGATCCAGAATATAACTCGCAGACACAAATTCAGAGTAAACCTAGTCTGGCACCTCTAGCTCATTGCTGAGCTCCATATAAACAGGAGATGAAGACAAATGTGCAGTTACAGTAGGCCTGTCTAAGCATTAAAGATGTGCCATAAATAGTTAAGAGCTAGATTGCAAACACAAAGAGAGGTTTTTGTTGTTGTTGTTTTGGCTCCAGGGATTTAGAAAATTTCCATGAGGACATAGGATCACTCTGAGGAAACAACAGAGAAAAGAGAACAGAGACGATTACACCCCTTATAAAGAAATTACAGCAATCACCAGAGATGTGGAGACATCTAATTTCCAGAGTTATATTTTAATATTCATAATATCTATTTTTAATAAATAATTTTAAAGCATTATGAAAAACTAGGAAAATATTGCCCATTTACAAAAAGAAATTGACAGAAACTATTTCTCTGAAGAAGCCTACACATTGTATTTAAAAGAAAAAGTTTAAATCAACTATCTTATATTTTCTCAAAAACCTAAAGGAATCCATGGAAAAAGACCTAAAGAAAACCAAGAGAATGATGCATTAACAAATAAAGAATATCCACAAATAGATAAATTTTAGAAAGTAATCAAGCTGAAAAACAAGATAGATACATGAAAAAAATCACTAGAGATGTCCAACAGCACGTTTTAACAGGCAGAAGAATTAGTAAATTTGAAGACAAGACAATTGAAATTAACCAGTCTGAAAAGCATAAACAAACAAAAAATAAATAGAGAATAAGAGACCTATAACACACCATCAAGTGTATCAACATATGTGTTGTAGGGGCCCCAGAAAAAGTGTGAGAGGGAATATTTGAAAACGTAATGGCTAAAAACTTCCCAAATCTGATGAAATGTATGCATCTACCTATCCAAGAAGTTCAATGAACGCAAGTAGGCTAAATTCAAGGAGATGTATACTGAGACTTATTGTAAAACTGTCAAAAGACAAAACAAGATAATCTCAAAAGCAATAAGAAAAAAAATGACTTCTTATGTATAAAGGAGCCTCAATATTATTAACAACAAATTTCTCATCAAACCATGAAGTGGGATATTTTTCTTAAAGTGCTGAAAACAAAGAACAGTGAGCCAAAAATTTGATATCTGACAATTTTTTCTTCAAAAATGAAGAGAGATGTAGACATTCTTAGATAAACAAGAGTTAAGGAAGTTTATCACTATTAAACCTGCCGTACAAGAAATGCTAAAAAAAAAAAAAAAAAATTTGAGGTGGAAATAAAATGACACTAAGCAGTAATTTGAAGCCAAATGAAGAAATAAAGCATACTCATTAAAGTAACATACAATAGTCAGTATTTGTATTTTTTGGTTTGTAACTCCTATTTTTTTTTTCCTACGGGTGGAGTCATTAGAGTTCTCTAGGTGGAGAATCGTATTGTCTGTGAAGAGAGACAGTCAGAGATCTTTTCTCTAAGGATGCCTTTTATATTTTTCTCTTGCCTGGTTGCTCTGGTTAGTGCTTTCAGTATTATGCTGATTAGGAGTGGTGAGAGTGGGCATCTTTGTCTAATTCTAGTTCTTACACAGAAATGTTTCCAGTTTTTGTCCATTCAGTATGATGTTTGTTGTGAGTCTGTCATACATGGTCCTTATTATTTTGAGAAATGTTCCTTCAGTGGCTAGTTTCTTGAAGGTTTTTATAATGAAGAGATGTTGGATTTTATTAAAAGTTTCTTTTGCATCTATTGAAATGATCATATGATTTTTTTTTAAAATTCTGTTCATGTGATTAATCACATTTATTAATTTGTATATGCTGAACCAATGTGACAGCCCAAAAAAGAACAATGAATTAACTTTTTTGATATGCTGTTGAATTCGTTTTTCTAGTTTTTCTTTTTCTTTCTTTTCGTGTTTTTTTTTTTTTTTATTGAGGATTTTCATGTCTATATTCATCAGGGATATTGGCTTGCAATTTTATTTTTTGTTGTTGTGTCTTTGCCAGGTTTTAGTTTCAGGTTGATGCTGGTTTCATAGAATGAGTTAGAGAGGAATTTTGCTTTCTCAATTTTTGGAATAGTTTCAACAGAATTTGTACTGGCTCTTCTTTGTATGTATGGTAGAATTCAGCTGTGAATAATCCATTTAGACTAGGGCTTTTTTGGTTTATAGACTTTGATTATGGATAAAATTTCAGAAATTGATATTGGTCTGTTCAGTGTTTCAATTTCTTCCTGATTCAATTTTGGGAGATTGTGATTTCCATTTTCTCTAGATTTTCTAATTTTCATGTGCGGAAGTGTTCATAATAGTCTCTGAGAATCTTTTGTTTTTCCTTGGGATCAGTGGTAACGCCACATTTGTTGTCTCTGATTGTGCTTATTTGGATGTTCTTTTTTGTTGTTAATCTAGCTAGTGATCAACTGATTTTCTTTATCCTTTCAAATAACCAACATGTGGTTTTGGGGGGTTTTTGCATAAATTTTGGGGTTTCATTTTTGTTCAGCCCCCGTGTGATTTTAGTTATTTCTTTTCTTCTGTTAGCTTTGGGTTTAGTTTGCTCTTGTTTTTCTAGTTCCTCAAGATGTGATGTTAGGTCATTAATTTGAGACCTTCCTAGCTTTTTGAGGTTGACCTGGAGTGCTATAAACTTTTCTCTTAACATTGCTTTTGCTGCATCCTTGGGATATTAATATGTTGTGTTTCTGTTTGCATTTATTTCAATTTTTTTTATTTTTGCCTTAATTTCATTGTTTACTCAAAAGTCATTGAGGAACAATTTGTTTAATTTGCATGTAATTTCATGGTTTTGAGAGATCTTCTTGGTATTGATTTCTATTTTTAGTGCACTGGGTCCAAGACTATGGTTGGTATGATTTGGATTTTTTTTTTAATTTCTTGAGACTTGTTTTATGACAGAGCATGTAGTTGATCTTGGAGTATGTCCTGTATGCAGATGAGGAGAATGCATATTTTGTGTTTGATGAGTGGAGTATTCTGTAGATGTCTATTTGGTCCAATTGGCCAAGCATCAAGTTTAAGTCCAGAATTTCTTTGGTAGTTTTCTGCCTTGGTATCTGCTAATGCTGTCAGTGGGGTATTCATATCCTTCACTATTATAGTACAGCAGTCTAAGTCTTTTTGTAGGTCTAGAAGTACTCACTTTATGAATCTGAGTATTCCAATGTTGAATGCATATATATTAGAATACTTAAGTCTTCTTGTTGAATTGAACCCTTTAGTATTTCATAATGTCCTTCTTTGTTGTTGTTTTTTTTTTTCTACTGGCGTTTGTTCAATGTCTGTTTATCTGATATAAAAAGAGCTATCCCTGCTCTCTTTTATTGTCTGTTTGCATGGTTGATCTTTCTCCAACCCTTTATTTTGAGCCTATGGATGTTATGACATGTGTGGTGGGTCTCCTAAAAACAACAGAAGGAGGTGTCTTATTTTTTGTTTGTTTATTTTTTGAGATGGAGTTTCGCTCTTGTTGCCCAGGCTGGAGTACAATGGCACGATCTTGGCTCACTGCAACTTCTACCCCACAGGCTCAAGAAATTCTCCTGCCTCAGCCTCCTCCTGAGTAGCTAGGATTACAGGCATGCACCACCACGCCCAGCTAATTTTGTATTTTTAGTAGAGATGGCGTTTCTCCATGTTGGTCAGGCTGGTCTCGAACTCCCAACCTCAGATGATCCACCCACCTCAGCCTCCCAAAGTGCTGGGATTACAGGCATGAGCCACCTTGCCTGGGATGTCTTGGTTTTTTATTCAACTTGCCACTCTGTGCCTTCTAAGTGGGTCATTGGGGCCATTTACATTAAAGATTAATATCGATATGTGAAGTTTTGACCCTATCATGAGGCTGTTAGCCAGTTGCTTTGTAGTTTGTATTGTATGGTTGCTTATAGGGTCTTCAGGCTATGTACTTAAGTGTGTTTTGCGTTAGCAGGTTGTTCTTTTATTTTTATGTTTAGAACTCCTTTAATAATCTCTTGTAAGGCTAGTGTAGTAGTAACAAATTCCTTTATCACTTTGTTGTTTGTCTGGAAAAACTTTTACTTCTCCTTCACTTATGAAGCTGACTTTGGCAGAGTATAAACTTTTTGATTGGAATTCTTTTTTTTCTTTAAGAATTCTGAAAATAGCCCCCCAGTCTTTTCTGGATTTTAAGGTTTCTGCTGAGAAGTTCACTGTTAGCCTAATAGGTTTCTCTTTGTATATGATCTGACCTTTTTGTCCAATTGCCTTTAAAATTTTTTCTTTACCATTTACCTTGGACAGTTTGGTGACTATCTGCCTTGGCAGTGTTCATTTGGCATAGTATTTCAAATGCATTCTCTGGATTTCTTGTATCTAGATATCCAACACTCTAGCAAAATTAGGGAAGTTTCCTTCAATTATTCCCTCTCAAATATGTTTTCCAGATTAGTTGTTTTTTCACCTTTTTATTTAGGAATGCCAATAATTCATGTGTTTTTCTGCTGTATATAGTCTCATATTTCTCAAAGACTTTGTTCATTTGTTTAGAATTCTTTTTTTCTTTACTTTTGTCTGTCCAGGTTAGTTCAAAAGACCAGTCTTTAAGCTCTAAAATTTTTTCTTCTGTTTGATTCAATTTGTTAAAAAAGTTTTCAATTTTACTTTGAAATTATTCAATTGAATTTTTCAATTCCAAAAGCACTAATTGATTTGTTTTTAAGATGTTTATATCCTTCTGCACTTCCTGGATTGTTTTAGAAGTTTCTTTGTGTTGATTTTCAACTTTGACTTGGATCTCATTGAGCTTTCTCGAAATCTATGCTTTGAATTCTTTATACGTTATTTCTGAGTTTTCATTTTACTTTAGGGACTATTGCTGGAGAGCTAATGTGATCCTTTCGTGGGGTCACTGCATTCAGATTTTTCATGGTGCCAGAATTCTTGCGCTGATACCTTCTCATATGGAGACCTTGACAATCCTAAACTTTGTAATTATTGTATTGCTGGTGGAATATTCTTCTTTTTCTTTCGTTTCATGTTTATATGCGAAGAAAGCTATATATACATTTCTATATAAATATGTTTATAAAATGTATTCATATTAATACATATATTTTATGTATTATAAAATATTAAAATTAAATAATTTTAAATATTAAATTTATAGTAATAATTTAATAAAAGTTATATAAATATATTATATCATTAATAGTAATTTAATAAAATATTAAATAATTTTGTTTACTAATTAATAATTACTAAATAATTATTAAATTTAAATAAATACAATTATTTAATAATTAAAGTATGAAAATTTATTTCATTTATTATAAATTTTTATTTATATATTATTTATATATTTGTATTTTATTTATTTATTATAAAGGTTTTTATTATATAAAATATAATATATTATATAATATATACGCTCCAGCCTGTTACCCTGAAATCATGGCACACCAGGGCCTTCTCTGCTTCACTTCTAGGCAGAAATCCAGGCATTTGGAGCACCTGCTTGCCTGAGCCAGCAGCGAGAACCACCCCACCCTTCATGGACACAGATTGTGCTTTCTCTGCTCCATGCTCCATGCTCAGGCAGATCTCCAGGGATCTCCAGGTGACACCTACTCCACTGGATTAGGAGTTTAGGCCACCCCCTATCTCCATGCAGAATATGAGGCTGAGGAGGTTTCCCAGTTCCATGCCTAGGCACACCTCTGGGCACTTGGTGACTGCCCACTGGATTCTTCCTGAGCCCTGGTGCTTGTGCCAGCCATTGGAAGACCTGTATGTGAACTGGCCTGGCTGAGCACTGCTCTTCATGGCCCCACTCCCAGGGCTGAGCAGGGAGCTCAGACCACTGCATTCCACGAATCAGCCCATTGCCTGTGGCATCACAGAGATTCTCCCAGTAAACAGGAATCAAGTGTATACCTAGCTGCACAGGCTGCTACTGGCTCTTACCTACAAGCACCATTAACTGGCTTGTAGGTCAAACTGCACAGCCCAATATAAAGCCTTTTGAAACAAGTGGGTAGGGCTATAGAAGCAAGCTTTGTAGGGGCATGGATGAAATTGGAAATCATCATTCTCAGTAAACTATCGCAAGAACAAAAAACCAAACACCGCATATTCTCACTCATAGGTGGGAATTGAACAATTAGAACACATGGACACAGGAAGGGGAACATCACACTCTGGGGACTGTTGTGGGGTGGGGGGAGGAATAGCCTTGGGAGATATACCTAATTCTAGATGACGAGTTAGTGGGTGCAGCGCACCAGCATGGCACATGTATACATATGTAACTAACCTGCACATTGTGCACATGTACCCTAAAACTTAAAGTATAATAATAATAAATAAATTTAAAAAAAAAGAAGCAAGTCAAAAAGTCTACACAGCATGTTCACACCCTCTAGGGAAGGTGCAAAGAGAAAGGGGTAAAACATAAATGTAAGCATTTATATTAAAATTATATAAAAATATACGTATTTGTTTCAAAGTATATAAAATATATATTTTTATATCATAATGTATTACATATATTATATTTATATATGTAATTATGTATATATATTATATTATTATATATGTATATATTATATATTATATTATTATATATGTATATATTATATATTATATTATTATATATGTATACATTATATATTATATTATTATATATGTATACATTATATATTATATTATTATATATGTATATATTATATATTATATTATTATATATGTATATGTTATATATTATATTATTATATATGTATATGTTATATATTATAATATATAGTATATTTATTATATATAATGTATAATATATAATTATATAATATATAATATATTATATATAACTTAAATATAATTATATGTATTTTATTTCTGTATGTAATATGTGTGCATTATATAATTATATGTGTATATATTATATATTATATTATATTATTACATATAATATGTAATTATAGAATATATAATATACATTGCATAATACATTACATATTATATATTATATAAATATAATATATGTAACATATATTTTATATACTTTGATATAAATACATATATTTTTATATAGTCTTTATGTAAGTACGTATATTTATGTTTTACCCCTTTCTCTTTGCCCCTTCCCTAGAGGATGTGAGCATGCTGTGTAGACTTTTTGGCTTGCTTCTATAGCCCTACGCACTTGTTTCAAAAGGTTTTATATTGGACTGTTCAGTTTGACCTACAAGCCAGTTAATGGTGCTTGTAGGTAAGAGCCAGTAGCAGCCTATGCAGCTAGGTATACACTTGATTCCTGTTTACTGGGAGAATCTCTGTGATGCCACAGGCAATGGGCTGATTCGTGGAATGCAGTGGTCTGAGCTCCCTGCTCAGCCCTGGGAGTGGGGCCATGAAGAGCAGTGCTCAGCCAGGCCAGTTCACATACAGGTCTTCCAATGGCTGGCACAAGCACCAGGGCTCAGGAAGAATCCAGTGGGCAGTCACCAAGTGTGCCCAGAGGTCTGCCTAGGCATGGAACTGGGAAACCTCCTCAGCCTCATATTCTGCATGGAGATAGGGGGTGGCCTAAACTCCTAATCCAGTGGAGTAGGTGTCACCTGGAGATCCCTGGCGATCTGCCTGAGCATGGAGCAGAGAAAGCCCCGTTATAGTATAATCTGTGTCCATGAAGGGTGGAGTGGTTCTTGCTGCTGGCTCAGGCAAGCAGGTGCTCCAAATGCCTGGATTTCTGCCTAGAAGTGAAGCAGAGAAGGCCCTGGTGTGCCATGACTTCAGGGAAGCAGGCTGGAGCACCCAGCGATGTCATATGCATGTCAGTTCCAAATTGCCTGGCTGGCCCTGGCTTCAAGCCTCAGCACCCATGAGCTGTAAGTAGGGCAGTTTTCTTCCTGTCCCAGGGTTATGATGGGGAGAGCACAATTCCAGCACCTACTGCTGAGGTGCTTTCCACAGTTCTGGCTATGGAGACCCCTGCCCAGCTCCAGAGCAGGTGCTCCAATCTCCGGCCTGAGTCCAAAATGCCTGCATGGTCACTTTGCTGGGTCTCCTATGAGTGCCTGATGTGTGTGTGCCCAGATTTAAAATGGTGTACTGCTTTCAGTCCTGGGCCTAGGAAAATATCTGCAGCATTTCCTGGTGTCTTTCCCTCGTAGCATCGCCAAGCCTCTTCCACCTTACCTCCAGAGCTTGGGAGAAACAAAGTGTCGTCTGTCTGCCTAGGTTGCTCAGGCTCCCAGTGGAAAGGTGAGTCACAGAAGGAGGCTCACTGCCTCTCTAGCACATGGGGTTTCAGTCTCTATCAGCCAGACGCCATCATGGGGCTGTTTGGTGTCATTCCCCCCACAGGATCTGGGGTGTCTTTCATGATCCAAGTGGATTCCCATTTTTTCTTCTGAATTAAAGCTCACAAAGTAGAGTTTTATGTACTCTCTTGCTATTTTCAAGTGACTGATGCCTGCTAAAAGCCTCTAATCCACCATCTTGGAAAACAAACAAACAAACAAACAAAAAACACAGTACTATTAATGTACTGGAAGAACAAGGTTCTCCTCCATTGCAAGTTTTTTTTTCCTATAGACTTCAATGATCTTTAAGTTCACTTAAAAAAATATTGTGACATTTTTATAGTAAAACGTCTGTGAATTTGATCTTCTGTTTGCAACATTGTATTGGCATTCATGCAGCACCATTTTGCAGAGTATGTCACATGAGACACATTAAATATCTCATTGCCATTAAGCTTACATATGGTTCATGACTTTCAGTGTGGTTATTGTGTCTCTAGGTAAAGCATACTTGCACTAAATTAAGCACTAAAGAAGTACTAATTTGAAATTCCAAGGGAAAAGTACTCAAATGTCAAATGGTTTCTGTGTTATTAATTTATAATTGTGTATTTTTTAAATTAACTGTTTATAACAGTATTTAAGTTTAAATAGAAAAGAAACAGACTTAAAAGAAATTGAAATAATAGAAGTTTTGGAACAGTAAAAATGTTTTTCATAGATGTGGTTTGTATTTACTTACCTTTAAGCAATAATGGGTTTTACTACTGGCTTAATGTGAAGAAACTAGGGAAAACTTCAGAAACTTATAAAATTACGTTTTGATTTACTATCAAAAACTGTTGCTCTCAAATGTAATGTATATATTGACTATCAATGTAGTGATGCTTGCAAAATGCGTTAAGGTATGTATATTCCATGCAGTGTTCTTCTGACAGCCTAATCCTATCCATTACAATTGAACCAGGCTTTTGTAAGCCAATAATGAGGAGCAAACAGGTTCTGCAGGTGGAATCCTTAGGTACTGCTTTGAATTTAAGTGTGTATACATATGCTAAATTATGCTACATTTGATGTTTTATGAGACTCCAATCAGAAGTATATTGACATAAAATTCAAGATACAAAGAACTATTATTCAATGTAAATGGCTACCAAAATATTAACAGCAAATTGGAAAAAATATCATCAAAATAATTTTAAAAATTTAAAAATATTATTTTCTGTCTCAATTCTCTGAATCCCCTGATTTCATTGTCTTAGCATATGTATTTGAAAAAAAAAATACCTTTATAGGTATTGCTTAATAAAACAGTTTAAGTAAAATACAGGGTTTTGCTGTTGCTGCTGCTATTGGGTTTTTCATTTCTCCATTATTTATGCAAGTGGTTACTTGTTCATATAATTAATGAGTCATATTTCTGCTGATACCCTAGATAAAAGTGATAATTCATTATACTAATAGAATATGTTAGCTTAGAAGAAAGGTACTCCATTTCCTGATGAAAGACTATGAATCATGTTTGAGAAGCAAATGTAAACTACACATAAGTTAATGTATCAGTTGTTCAGATAACAGCACTGGTTGCCTCAAATTCCAAGTTTGTTTCATTTTTTAAGTGACCATAATTTATCATAAAGACACAGTGTATCTAACGATCTAGAAATATTATAATATTGTTGAAGGCAGAAAACAAAATCCTACTTTTCCTAAAATGTTTTCCTTAAATTGTGAACATTCTTATTTGGCTTAAATCTGGTTTACTAGAAATATGTTAATACATAAAAAATACATTTAGAAGTTGAAGAAATTGACTTGAGGGAAGGCACAGGGGTAATCCGAATTCAGATTTCAATTTCCCAAGTGATAGTGAGTGAAAGACGTTCCGCTATTAAGAACATCTATGAACTGAGTAGTGCATGTTATGGGGCATGGCCACCTGCATCATAATGTTTTGCAGTCGTATAAAAATGCAGACTCCATGATTTAAAAATTCTACCTAATTATTATCTCTGGTAGTGGCATTTAGTAATACATTTTAATTAACCACCCAGTTGAATTTTACGCACATTAAATTTTGATAAGTATTTACTTTTTCTTTTCCCTCTGTTTTTCTCCAACAGAAGAAGTCTTTCACTCTAGCCACCACAGCTGGGAATGTGCTGGCTCACACCTGTAGTCAGCACATCTCAGGTCTCAAGGAGCATGGGATAATCTGGATATTGCTGCCGGCCATTCAAGGGCCAAGGACCCGTTAGTCAGCAGGTGATGAAACCTGCCAGGACTTGGTTCTTCCCTTCAAGGCAGCAGGTTCCCTTTTGACCCCAGAATATGTCTAGAAATAATATCTGGGAGCTAGTGTCTGGAATGGGGGCCTCGTGACTCTTCCCAGTGCCCTCTCCTTCTATGGCTGAGCTGGTATCCAGGATGCAAGGCAAAGTCCTCTTTACTCTTTGCTCTCCTCTCCTTAAGCAGAAGGAAGGAGACATTTTTGTTGCTGTGAGTTGCACTGCCAAGGGTTGGGGGAAGAGTGGTGCAAGCAGTTTTATAGCCATCCAAGCTGGAGTCTCCCTAGGTCACCTGCCACTATAGTCCTATGACTCTGAGCCCAGCCCAGCACTAAGAGTTGCCTAGCAATTGTAGTCCTTGTTTCCTGGACTGTGTTTCAAGTTTATCTGAGACCCCAGAGCACTTTGGCTTGTGGTGGTAAGAGTTGCCTAGAAACTCAAGTTCTGACCAATGGGATGGGCAATTCCCCTCTGGTTAGGTCTGGTCCAAATGCTCCTTCTGTGCACGGACACTAGTGCATGGCTTTTCTCTCCGGTATGACTGGTCAGCACTGATTTCAATGTAATGTCCCTCAGTCACTGCACTTTCCCTCTCCCAAGTACATAGACTCTCCACACTGCTCAGCCACTGCCAGGGGATATGATATCAGTGATCAAGGACTGTCTCTTTGACCCTCATTAATGACTCCTCCATAGAGATGAAGTTAAAACCAGGTATTGTGATTGCTTACCTGATTTTTGGTTTTTGTGTCTGTGCTTTTCTGTGTGCAGACAGTTGTAAATATTTGGTGTTTCTGCAGGGCATACAAATAGTGTAGCCTTCTATTCTGTCATCTTGCTCCACCCCAGCCCCCTATCAGAAATTTTTGAAAAGTTAAAACTTTATGACAAATCAATAATTTAGAAGCGATGAAATCACAATGAGTGTGGCCTATTAACTGTCAAGTTTCCAGTATCCATTGACATATGGGTCAACACCAATATTCAAATATCTCAGAGAGAATGTCCATGCCCAGAATTGGATGCTGTGCTTCTGTATCTGGTATAGAAATCTATACAGTCAAAACTAGGGCCACATGGAGCACCATCAAATAAAACATGACCCAGGACACAACTACTTTCATGGGGTTATAGACGATAGAATCAAATACGGTATATTGTTACAGGATTTTGAAACTGAAAATTTATGATTATATGAATAGAGTGATATATGAAAAAATTTGTCCTTTAATGACAGCATAGAATTTCAGAGGATCCTTTAGGAAAACTAAATATGGGGTTTACATGAAGGATATGCTTAAATTCCACTTGTGAATCTAAGGTTCTTAGCACACTGCTATGTTTGTTCTAATTTGGTTGAAGAGGTATGTAGTA
This sequence comes from Homo sapiens, assembly GCF_000001405.40. Classification (NCBI taxonomy): domain Eukaryota; kingdom Metazoa; phylum Chordata; class Mammalia; order Primates; family Hominidae; genus Homo; species Homo sapiens. The sequence goes on along the minus strand of NC_000005.10, from coordinate 85,903,967 downwards.
TTGACAAGCATCATTGCCCGTAGCTGAATAAAGCCAAGAAGGCAAAGACTGACAGGTGGCTTTTTCCTTAAGTAATTAGTTAGAACTTGGGGTGCATTTATCAATAGTGACACAACACAAATAATGGCCATGTGTAGTTCATTCAATTCATTACTCTCGAAAAATACCATCCAGTGTTTACACCATGGGAGGTGCTCCTAGACACTGCTGATGCAACACAGAATAAAGCATGTGCTCTGCCCTCATCAAGCTCATGTGAGGTTACAGAATATTCTAGATTAGCTATATGAGCTCTATTAATACTGCATATAAAATATATTCATGAATTTTAAAAAAACCTTTGATGTGCCTACCTGGGTTGCTCTGTTATCCAGTCTTGATCCTTATGTTAACTGTTTACTTATTTTCCTCTATAGTCTGGCAATCACTGATTGATTATTCATTCAAATTTGGGAATTTGCTACATTTATAAACATGATAGTTGCTGCTGGAATCCTAGCAGTAGGGAATGTGTTTCTTTAATAGGTTTAATCTCTGAATAGTGATGTTCTTTACAAGTTCTGGGCAATTATGTAGAATACATAAAATGTCAATTGCATATGTAGCAAAAGACAGGCTACCACCTACCTCCACCTCCATTACTTCTTTTATATTTCCATCTATTTAATAATAAATTGTACTTATTAAACTTAGTAATTTGCAAGAATTTTACTAATTGTTCTCTAGTCAACCACCTTTTACCTCTTCAAAATGACCTTCTGAATGTTATTACTGATATCCTCATTCTACATATAAGGAAACAAAGTTATAAAGGCTTTTAATAAATTGTTCAAAACACACAGGTAGTAAGTGGGTGTTGAGACCATGTTTGTGTCCTGCCAATCTGATGTCAGAGTTTACTATGATTCAATATAATTCATTTTGGGAAGTTTCTTAATTATACTAATATCATTATTTAGTCTTCATTTGTATGCTTTCTAACAACCGGTACTCCTATGATCTAAATATTTGTGTACCCTTCCAAATTCATATGTTGAAATCTATTACCAATGAGATGATATTAGCAGGTGGGACTTTGGAACATGATTAGATTATGAAGGTGAAGCCCTCATGAATGGGATATAGTGCCAGAGAGCTTCATTCTCTCTTCTGAGTAAGGTGCCAGGTATGAACCAGAGAGCAGGCTCTCATCAGACACCAAATTTGCTGTCACCTCGATCATGGATTTTTCCAGTATCTAGAACTGTAATAAATACATTTCTGTTGTTTAAAATCCAATCAATTTATGATATTTTGTTATAGTAGCCCAAATGGTTAAAATAACTACTTTTACTGGGAATATCATACTTTTCATTTCATAACACTTTGTATAATACTGTACTTGTTTTCTTCCTTTTTCAACTGCTTCTCTTTTATTACAGATTGTTCTTGCTTGATAGATTTAATTGATTCTCTTATTTCTTTAATTAATCAATTAGAAGACATATTTTTATTTGTTATCTATTTCTCACATTAACTCTATCTTCTCAAAATTCTGAATACCAGTTTGTTCGTTCTGAAGTTTCTCTTGCATATTTTCCTCAATTGTCTGGTAAGTATTGAATGAACATTCATATTAATGAATCAAAATTATATGGACAAGAAAGGTAGAGTATATTTTAATGGTATGTTATTTGCGATGTTGAGATAATTTTTCTTGTAATCACTGTATTAATTTTCTATTACTGCTGTAATAAGTTAGCAATAATTTGGGGTTCAAAACAACAAAAATTTATTTTCTTGCAGTTCTTGAAGCCAGAAGTATAAAATTAACTAATTTAGTTTGTATATTGAGCTCTTTTTAAGTCTATTTCTCTGAGGAAAGTAAATAATGAGCTTGTAATTTTATCTGAGTTGGGAAGATTATAAGGGGAAAAATGTGGAGAGAAAAAAAAACAAATTGTTTTGGATTTGCTAGGATCAAAATGCCTAGTAGACATCCCATTGAAAATTTGCTTTGGGTAGTTATCCTATAGTTTGTGGTTTGAAACATGATTAAACAAGATCTAGCTTGTGAAGAAGTTGAGAGAACAGAAGCTCAGATTCAGGATGAAGTTATGACACCATTCAGTACTCAGAACAGAAAAAATAAAATAATAGAATAGACTGAAAAAGGGTGATTACTGAAATACCAGTAAAACCATGACTGTAGTGTGACAGAGACTAAAGGAGAACAGGGCTTTAAAAAAGGAGAAAGAGGTCAACTTCCAATAATACCAATCAATCCCTGTTGACAGACAAGTAAGGTAAGTATCGGAAAATGCTGATTGGATTTGTAAGGCAGAGGTTATCGGTGACCTTGTCAAGAACAATCTTAATAGTGTAGTTGGGGAAATAAATATTAAGTGTGGTAAGTTTGTATTCAAGTTTGTAAAAGTTTGGTTTAGTCTACATTTACATAATATTTTGTAAGTACATATTTTTGTACCACATACAGACATCTTAATTAACCTATGTCTTCAATTTGTCCATGTTAAAATATACTCTGGTGTCATTTTTAAAAATTGGATATAAAATTGCGATCAAAAAATTGAGAATTAGTCTTATTCTCATGTAGGTACATTGATACTTGTATAGATTTAGGTAGTGTGTTTAAAATTAAATAATTTGTTTTTCTGACATGTTAATATTTAATTTATTTACTATAGCCTAGTAGAATCAGGAAAGGTTAATAGATGGTGTAGACTTCTAATATATTAAATTGTGTGTCATAGTCAGAAGAGTGGATAAATAAAGACAATATCCTATGAGAAAGAATGGTATAAACAAATAGTTGGACACTGGGTTACAAAATCCTTGATTAGGAAAAAGAAGACTTGTCCATAAGAATATGTTTTGTTTCATTGAGGAGGAAAAATTATATTGAAATAAAAAATTTTGCTAGATAGAGGGTGACATGGAATTATAGGTTAAGCATTTTAGATTTTATCTTGTAAGAGTGAAGTGTCACACTAGTATGTACTTACAGCTACAGTTATCTGATAGCTTATTAGGAGATGATTTATCTTGAATTGTGCATGGTAGATTGCAGTCAGAAGATAAACATTGATTTTAATGAGAGCTCTTTTCTAGAAGACAAATTTCCTTTATAAATGGGCCAAAAAGATGGCTGTATTTCCAGCTAGAGTTACTTGATAAAAATATGAGGAGAAGATTTATCTTGAATTGTTCATGGCAGATTGCAGTAGGATGATAAACATTGATTTTAATGAGAGTTCTTTTATCAAATACAAATTTCCTATTGAATTGGACCAAAAAGGTGCCTCTGATGTGTGCTATTGCTAAGTAAAATATCTTTGTGAAATGTGATTTGGACAGTATACAGTAATCTTCTAAGTGCTTAAAAACAATCATATTCCTAGTCTCAGTTATGTGATCTTATTTTAGTCGGTGAAATTATTTATATTTAGTTCTTCAAATCAGTTTTTTCGATTTCCTATAATGATTTGAGGATGTTTCATTAGAGCTCCATAAGAGAGACTTGTTTTAATTTCTTTCCAACCATCATTTAAAGAGTATTAAAGACCAAGAAGACCATATAGGAATTACAGTGCTTTGCCACTGCCATGCTGCTTTTTGGAGCAAATGGGGAAAACTGGTGTTTGAGTTAGCAATTCAACTAACCAAAATTGTCTGTATATATTTTACTCAAGTAACCAGGAAACTATTGAGTAGACTATTTATTATTATAATGTACATTATTTCCTTTTACTACAATAACTCTGGCCTTGACATATTACTTGAGAGCTGCTGCATGAAAATTCTCTCTATTTGGCAGAAGTCAAGGATTTATGATGTGCTTCTTAGTAATACTAAGGCAAATAGCAAACCCTGTTATCCTTAGTGTACTTCTGCAAGACTAACTCTTGAAACTTACATCTGATTTGAGAGTCCGTGTTACAATGCAATACTGCTTTTATACTATTTCTCCCTTGGAAAAGCTCTGCCAAACACTGAGCCAGAGATATCCAGGATTTCTTCTACGTGAGGCTTTTTAAAATAAGTCATAAATACTGGACTGAATGACCATAACCCTGCTAAGCCAAACTGAATTATGAGATATAAACACCATCTTCCATTACAATATTGACCTTGGATAAAGTCAGTTCCTATGGTTTATTAACAAAAAGATTAATGAATAGTAGATATGAGCATGTCATTTAAGACAGTGAACAATGAGAACCTCTTTATTTCAGCAAGATGAAAACTTACTATTCTGATGAGTCCTCACAAGATCAACAACAACAGCAGCAAAAACTAAATACAATTATTTACTCAATTCTGGTTAAGAATATCTTCAAGGCTTTACTTAAGCCTTGACCTTTGCCACCTTGGTCCTGGAAATTTATTAGATATGTATAATTTCAGAACTAAAAAGACCATTAGAGGTAACAAAATCCTGCCTTCATTTTAGAGATGAAGGAATAGTTCATGAGAAGTTAAGAACTATGCCAAAGTTTAAAGAACAAATTTATGGTAGAACTAGGCTGAGAAATGTGTGGTTAATTAAAGTTATCACTTTTTTATTGTAGGACTTTTTAGAACCTTAAATAAATGAATGAGCATTGTGAATCTTATAGAGGTAATATACTATATAAAGTTTATCACATTTAAATGGGAATGAGAAGTGCTAATTTGAAGAAAATCTGTAAATATTTCTCCTAGGACAGAAATGTTCCAAATCACACAATTTAGGAAAATGTGAGAAAACACTGATAAATACCATTGCATACTAATAATTTACTATGTATTTTTTAATATAATGATCTCTATTAGCTTATTCCTGACTTAGCAATGGACATAATTCAGAAGAAAGTGGGGAGTAATTGCTCCAGGAGGAGCAAGACGGTGGGATAGAAGACTTGATCAATCATCCTCCAAACAAGGACATCAATTTAGCAACTATCTACACAAGAAAAGCATTTTCATAAGAACTATACATCCGGCCCTCTTTCCAGACCCTAGCTCTGAACTACATTTTTGGACACACCCTGGGCCAGAGAGGAACTTGCTACTTTGAAGGGAAGGATGCAGTGGGGGCAGGATATGTCACCTGCTAACTACAGAGACCTTGGGCCCTGAATAACCAGCAGTGATACCCAGGTAGTATATTAAGAGCCTTGGATGAAGCTCTGAGAATTGCTGGCTTCAGGTGAGACTCAACTGTGGTGACTATGGGAAGACTTCTGCTTGAGAAAAGGAGAGAGAAAAGTAAAGGGGACTTTGTCTTGTACATTAGGTACCAGCTCAGCTACAGAGGGGTAGAGCACAAAGTGGGCTCTTGAGGTCCCCCGTGCCAAAACTTGGCTTTTAGATGGCACTTTTGGACCTTCTCTGGGCCAGAGGGGCATCCACTGCCCCTGAAGGGTGAGTCCCAGTCCAGATAGTATTCACTACAAATTGACTTAAGAACCCTTGGGCATAAAGGGAACATCAGAGATACACTGGCAGTATTCCCTGTGGACCTGTGGTGGCGATGGCCATGGGGTGAGGCTCCTCTGCCTTTGGAAAGCAGATGGAAGAGCGGGAAGGATTACATCTTGTGGTTTGAGTGCCAGCTCAGCTGCAGGACAATAGAATACCAGGTAGACGTCTCAGGTTTTTGACTCTAGTCTCTGGCTCCTGGATGGCACCTTTAGACCCACCCAGGGACTGGGGTAACTCAATGCCCTGAAGGGAAGAATACAAGCCCGGCTGGCTTTGCCTCTGCTGATTGTAGAGCCCCAGGTCTTTGAGAGAACATAGGCAGTAGCCAGGGAGTGGGTACAGTAAGCCTTGGCTAAGACTCAGTGCTGTGCTGGGTTCAGGTCTGACCCAGTGCAGTCCTAGTGGTGGTGGCCACAGGGGTGCTTGTGTCACTCTACCCAGAACTTCAGGTGGCTCAGAACAGAAAGAGAGACTCTTTAGGAGAAAGTAAGGGAAGAAAATAAGAGTCTTTGCCTGATAATCCAGAGAATTCTCCCAGATCTTGTCCTGGACCATCAAGGTCAGACCTGTACAAGTCATCAAGAATCACAGCATTGCTGGGCTTTAGGTGCTTCCTAAAGCAAATATAACTTAGATCACAACACCCAAAAACTTTTTAATATCTGGAAAGTGTTCCTGAGAAGGATGATTACAAACAAGCCCAGACAGCGATGGTTGCAATAAGTACCTAACTCTTCAATGCCCAGACACCGATGAATATCTTTAATTATCAAGACAGTCCAGGAAAGAAATGAACTAACCAAATAAACTAAATAAAGCACCAGGGACAAACGCTGAAGAAACAGAGACACGTGAACTTTTGGACACATAATTCAAAATAGAAGTTTTGAGGAAACTCAGAAAAATTCAAGATAACACAAAGAAGGAATTCAGAATTATGTCAAATAAATTTCACAAAGAGATTGAAATAAACAATCAAGCAGAAATTCTGGAGTTGAAAACTGCAATTGGCATACTGATGAATGCATCAGAGTCTTTTAATAGCAGAACTGATCAAGCAGAATAAAGAATTGGTGAGCCTGAAGATAGGTTTTTGAAACTACACAGTCAGAGGAGACAAAAGAAAAAAGAATTAAAAAAGAAATAAAGCAGCTTCCATGTTAGCTAGGACTACAGGTATACATCATCGCACCTGGCTTAGATGTCCTACCTTTTGTGGGAAAGCCTCCTAAAATAGAATTGCTAGGTAGAGATATATATATATAATTTTTAAAATTTATAATAGGCATTGAAATATTGCTTTTGAAAGACCACAATAAATAAAACAAACATCTAAGAGCAATGAACAATGACCTTTCTCAGTCATTGAAGCACATCTAGTTCTGCCTGTTTTGGTTGCTCTTCACTGTCTTCATGCAGGTCTTCTATTTATTTTCCCTGCTTCTACTGCTATTTTAAGAAATAGGATTATGCACAAACCATTCTTTCATGGCTAGATCCAGGTCTGTCGTTGTTTCAATAGTTTTGTTTTTTGACCCCCTGTTATTGTCATCCATATTTTATATTTAGTTATTTTATATTCTGTCTGATGTGCTTTTCATAACTTAGCACTTACGTCCTCTGCTTGTTAACGTTTCATTATTGTATCTTGTTTCCTCTCATGATTTTTCATCTTCTACTGTGAGTTCATATTTGGAGGCTATTAATCTATGGAAATTTTAGGGGTCAGCATTGAGGAATGCTCTCCTGCAGAGAGAACTGTGTTTGATTCTGCTGGGATTTAGAAGACAATGTTGGAGAGCTTTAGTCTCCCTCGGGGTTCCTGATTTAAATGTAGAAGTGTCATCTTCTCTATTGTGCCACGTGCCTCACAATTATTCTCTTTATTACTGTGTTTATATTACAGTTTTGCTTGAGGCTTTCCATCTTTTTTCATTTATTTTCTCCTTACTGCTCAAGTTTCAATTTAAGGGTTTATTATGTTTTTATTTGTATTTAAAGATTCTTGAAGATTTATAATGTTTCCTATGGGAATTATAATGTATTCATTTGTATCCAATTCAAGAATTTCTCTGTGAAGTTCCTAATTAAAATGAAATGTATTTTATATTTGAACACTAAATGAATCAACATATTTCGCTTTCGAATTTTTTTCATTCAGGTACATTATTTTCTGTTTCTAGCTATGATTAGATTTTTTTGTCTTTCAGTAAAATATTTCCTGACACATTGACACAAAGACGGGAACACAGACACTGAGGCTTACTTGAGGGTGGATGGTTGGGGGGCAGAGAATCAGAAAAAAATAGCTTCTGGGTACTAGGTTTAGTACCTGGGTGATGAGATAATCTGTACAACAAATCCCCATGAAACAAGTTTACCTACACAACAAATCTGCACATGCACCCCTGAGCCTGAAAGTTAAAAAAATATATATTTCTTGATAGTTACTATGTCTTTCTTGTTCAAATTATTCACAAAAATTTTAGATGCTTTTGCTTTTGTATTAACTACTATAATCGATTGTTTTTAAAATGTTTTTTCTCTAGTGTGTTCTTACTTGAACAAAAAAACTATTTTACCATATGTTCAATATTTTTTGTTAATCATTTAGTTTTTTATGGGTCAGATTTCTCTTTTTTTTAGAAATATGTTTATGTCATCATCAAAGAGATATTTTATAACTTGCTTTTCCAATGCTCACAAAAATTATTTAATTTTCTATTTCTTCACAGAATTCTTTATTTTTCATTTTACGCATTGTGACCTGCTTTATTATAGTGAAATGAACTGATTATTAAACTAAGAACTTTGTAAGACAGTGTTTATAACATGCCTTTTAAAATTTTGAAAAAATTATAATTAACACATGGTAATACATTTTGAGGACAAGATTAAATTCTAACAGGGTAGTAATTTCCTTGTCCAGTTCTTGATTTAATAAAACTACTTTAGTTTCTTAACATTTAGAATAACAATTGAAACTTATTTTGTAATCTTTTTATTAGTTTACTTATACTCCAAACTACCTAATGTTTTATGATCAAATTATGTTTAAATATTTATTGATATACTCTTAAAATTTTTTTCCTTACTTTATTGCTCAAATAAATTATATTAAGCATGGACCTGGTAATAAATCACCTTCTGTGCAAATCCTATTTGCTGGATTTGCACCTTCTGGAGCAAATCCTATTTGTTGTAGTGTAACATTTTTTTGTATCATCACTTCATTTTAGTTAACATTCATTTAGAGCTTTTAAATCTACAGTATAACATGGGAGGGAATGTTATACAAGATTTTAAAATCACTCGTGAAATTCTGTTATTAAAATTATACTTCCTCTATGAAAGGAATTGGGGATTTTTCTATCTTTACCATAACCTGGAATATTTTAAATAATAGTGTAATTTTCATTTTTTAAAAGGCCAGTACTCTCCATTTGTGACCCTTATCTGACCCACTGGCATTTTTTTCAATGGCACATTTTTATTAAACACTCTATTCTTTTAATGTAGATTAATTAGTCTAATCTTTTTTTGGCATTTTCTGTCACCTTTTGTAATTTGTATGCTGTTATTTAATGAGTTGCACAGTAACTTTTTATAGTTATTTTCTTTAATTTTCATTGTTAAGCACCATCTTTGCTCTTTCTTTTTCTACCATCATGCTTGTGAGGTTTTGATTTTATGGCTCTCAACTAAAATTTGGAATTTAAATTAATATTTAAAACTTTTTCTGACTCGGGAATTTTCAATATCACTAACTTCACATGTCCAACATTTTGTTTTATATTCTTTTTACTTTTCCAGTTTCTGGAGATGTTAATGTCATTAAGAAATTATTTTGGCTGAATGTAACAGAATGTCTTAGTAATTATTAAAGAAAGAAGTTTATTTTTTCATACACATACACACACACACAAAATCTGAAAGTAGTAGGCTGACAGCATGGTTCAGTGTAGCAGAACCATGCATTTTTAATTATCTTGCTGATGTCTCTTGTTGGTAACATCTCCAGTTATCAACATAATCAAGAAAGAAAAAGAGAATATACAGAGCTGAAGTGAGAGTTCAGTTCTTAGCCCATCTGTGCTTGATAATTGTTTTTTCCAATGGAAAATAAACTTTTCCCTATTTTCAAGACAGAAGGCAGTTTTAAGCCCAGAAAAGTTGGGCTCCTAACCTCCCATGGAGATTGGGAGATAGGGGCCCTATCTTTCTTAATGATTGTATTTCAAAGGCATGGCTCTAAGATCCTTAGGAAGAACATTCCTGAGTTGTAAAACTGCTCAGAGGCTCTTTAAAATTTCTGCATCTCAAAGGGGCAGACAAATAATTTAAAAGTACACATTATCTAAAGTAAATGCTCCAAGAAAAGGGAGATCTGTAGCTTGGAATAAGGAGAAGCTTGTGGAATGTTTTCTTAAGCTGCCGGGCACATTAGACACAACTTGCTCACCAATTGTCATTTAGTTTCTGCACAAAGTCGAAGTTGAGGATATTTTGGTAAGTTGTAGTATTGTCACTGGCTCCTCCTATTCTAGTGATCCATGCCCAAATGACATGATATCTTTGTTTAACACACTGACAATGCAGTATTTGAAGAGAAAGTGGGTAATAGGAAAAAAAGTCCCATTAAAGGAAGGAAAGAAGAGAACCATATGGCAGTCAGAGATGCGTAGCTCTTAACAACTTATGATGGTGAGCAAAAATGAGATTGCTCTGTCCAGGTAAGTTGATCTGATAGGTACCCCTCTCACACACATCTGTCCACCTCCTCAAATTACAACCCTATTGTTGCCATCTAGGACTCTATTATTCATTGTCATTGGCTGCTACTTGTGAAATTGGGATGATCTATCTTATCCATTTTCTGTCTTGGCCATAGGAGATGAACTTTAGGATGAATGCCTACCCTGGTGAATGATCAGCTTTTGTAGTAGGTGCTGAAGAGTTACAGGTTGTGGAGGTCAAGATGGCTGTTATTTTTGCAAAATGTTTTTTTTTAAACAAAACAAAAAAACAATTATGTTTAAGGGTATTTTCTTCCAGTCAGTCTTTGTGCAAATAAACATGGCCAAGGATTTTTCTTAAACATAGTCTTTTAAGTTTAACACAGTCTTTTAAGTCTTTAACATAGTTTTTTAAGTTTCTAAGTTTTTTTTTCTTTTTTTTACAACTTGCTGGTCTCTGTTCTATCCATACCCCTTCACCTTCCCATAATGGCTGTTACCCCAAGGCAGTGTAAAATGACAGCCTTGGGTAAAAGGTCCCATCCTAAATCCTCCCTTTGCCACCTGCTGCCTAATTTTATCAATCTTATCTCCTGCTGAGACAGCTATTTCCCTGCTTCTTGGACTAGTTGCAATTTGGGGTACACAAATTTTATTTTCAAACCCAGCAGGTCTACAAATTATAGGGCTCTAAATCACTTAGATTGCAGCCCACATATTGAGAGCATACCTCCAGCAAAGCATTATTTTCTCCTTCTCTGCTTTAGACTGCTTTCAGAACTTTCATACCTCCTTTTGGAAATTTGGCTGAAAGTTGTTAAGGGTAACCACTATAACTAACATTCAGAGAGTTCCTGCCATTTGTGCTAATACCACAGCTTCAGTAGATACATATCTTGTGTGCATCTCAAAGTAGAGCAAGTTATGTATTTTCTCCCTCTTTTCTCTTCACATGTTCATATGTTCACATGATGGCTGTATTTGGGAACTTGGCATCAGTCTGCATTCAAGACTAGAATAAGTTGGGAAGGGGCTAGTCACAGAAACAGCTGTTCATTTCATCAGGAAAGCAAATATTTTTTGGCATTCGTATAAGAGATTACTTATGTGTCACTAGTGAAAACCGTGTGCACTTGGACACCCTGAGAAGCAAGGAAGATGAGAAGAGGTAGCATGATGCATTTCCAGTCTCTGAAGTCAACATGAGCAAGCAAAAGAAAAACTGGAAATGAGTGTTAGGGAAGTAAAATAAGGAAGCATATCACAGTTGAATACTAAATCATTTAATTTATTCTTTATTCTTTTAATAACGAAGATCAAAAGCCATTAATTTGCTCTAAATGTGGCATTGACTGTCCATTAGCTTTAGTATAAAGTGTGGCCATTTAAAAACTTTTCTGTATAATATTTATTTCTCTTTTGAGTTCATTTCAATGATCTGGGGATTAATTATTATTGTGTTTGTTAATTTTTAAGGCATTCACATCATCTTTTGATTATTATATTGTAAATAACACGGTATTCAGAAATTTTGCCTTTTAAAATTTTCATGTGGTTGTTAAGCTACTGGTGGTGTGCAATATTTTTACAAAAGTAGACACATGAAAAATATATATGTTATATTGAGTAATATACAGTTTTGCTTATATTTACCTATTAAATCAAATGTATTCATTTTATCACTCAATTCCTTTGTGCTGTTACTTACTTTTGTCAACTATATCTGTTAAATTTTCCCTTAATTTCCAATATACATTGATCTCTATGTTTAAACACTATACTGTTCGGTATGTATGGGTATATAATCTTTACATTTCTTTGACATTTGTCACTTTTATTATTTCATTATATCATCTCTCTTTTTATCCTACTTGATTGTGTTCTTAACCACCAACAATCTTAACGTGAATATGGCCATTTCTGTTTTTTTTTATTTGCATTTGCCTATTGTCTCTTTGTGTACTCCTTCATTTAGAAATTCTTGTTTATTTTTATTTTAAGAGGCTTATTTCTTCTTTTTTTTTTTCAATAGCATATAGTTGCATCAAAATTTTTAACTCTGACAAACTTGGTATTTAATGAATGGAAGAATACAATATACATATTCCACTCTAGCAGAATAAATGACATGTTATTATATTTCTTGAATCTTACTATGTTTACTTTTTCATATTATTTTTTCTTCTTGTCCTTTTATTTTTGGATCAATACAGTTGTATTTATTCATTTTGTTAGTGGAATATACTATGCTTGCACTATTAGTTAGTTATTTTTTAAGAATTTGAGTATTTTCTATGTGCCAGGTCCTATTCTAGAAGAATGGAATAGACAAAACAGAAAAAAAAAATCTCGGAGATTTCATTCTAATCAGACACATTTTATTATCATTATATAGAACCAAGGAACTATATTTTCTACCAAGATCCCCTATTTCCGACTGGTTTCAAGTTCTACAAAGTGAGCCATTTAGATAAAATTCTTACCCCTCTTCTCTTCCTTTTCTTACTCCCATCATGAATAAAAACTTCTGAACATTTTCTTCCCTGTTGTCAACATTTATCTTCAAGTTTAGTATTTAATCAATAAAATTTTTCTTGCAGTAGGATTCTGTTTCATGATCCCTTATGTCTTTATTTGAAAATTTTAAATTATGCAATACAGACAATCCATTTGTATCATTGTATAATCATTACCCACAACTGTTTCCCGATCTGTAGGCATTTTGTGAGAAGTGCAGGTGACCCGAGGACTCTCCACTGATGGCTGGCATCTAAAACAAGGGCAGTCTCGTGAAGTACCAAACCCTTAATCTGTGGGATATGTGCTAAATTTGGGGGGTGGGGGTGGTTAGAATCTTCTATGTTTTGAATGTGATCCCGCCAAAACTTAGGTGTTGAAACTTGTTGACCAATGTGATAATATTAAGAGGTGTTGCCTTTAAGAAAACATTAGGTCAGAGGGTTCTTCTTTCATGAATTAGATTAAGATCCTTATACCAAAGGCTTCATGCAGCCTTCATCCTTCCACACTTCTTCTGTCCCTTCCACACTTCTTCTATCCTTTCCACCAACACAGTGTTCCTCCACTCTGGAGGATGCAGCAACAAAGTGCCATTTCAGAAGCAGAGACTGAGCTCTCACCAAACACTCAACCTTCCCATGCTTAGATCTTGGACTCATAGTCTTTGGTACTATGAGAAATAAATTTCTGTTCTTTATAAATTGCCCAGCTTAAGGTATTTTCTTATAGCAGCAGGAACGTACTAAGACAGCACAAGAATTGAGTTGTAGTACACCATTTCCTGTTAGATGAAACCCCAACACCTTGAACAAGACCAGAAACATAGTATTTATTAATTCAAAGTGTGGATAATTGAATAAAGGAAGGTTGGAATAAGCCAACAAGAAGCTTCTTAGCTCATGGATTTATTTTCACTGTATATCCCTGAATATCACAGCCCCATTGCAGCCAATAAAGCCATCTAAAAGACTTTTATTTTCTGTGAATAAGTTTCCTCATGCCCTTACATCAAGAAAGCAATTTTCTGATAACTAGTTATATCTTTTGTTTATCAAGATACCAGTTCATTATCTGTTTATTCACCTGCTTTCTGCTTTCATCACTATGAGTGTCAAACATCTGTACTACATCTTGGATCCTCCTGCTCTCCCCTTCATAACAATACGAAGCAGTAGTCTCTCGCTCTTTAATTACCAAATTACATATACAGTAGTCCTCTCTCATTCATGATTTCATCTTTTGCAGTTCCATTTACCAGCAGTCAACAGCAATCTAAAAGTATAAAGATATTTTGAGAGAGAGAGGAAGCATGCTTACTTAATGATAATCATTCAACTTTATCATCCATTATTGTTGATAATATTTTGCTGTGCCAAATTTATAAATTAAACTTTATCATAGATAGGTATGGGTAGAAAAAAAATAACAGTATATATAGGATTTGGTACTGTCTATGTGCTTGTAGACATCCACTGGGGATTTTAGAACCTACCCCCTGCTAATGACTGAGGGTAACTGTACTACTCACAATTGCCTATAACCCATATTTCCTTGAATCCTAAATGCTTCAAGCATGAGTTAAAACAGCTTAAAGTTGTAATTTAAGGAACTCTTGACACACTCTCTCTGTCTTATTTCTTTCATTCTCAGGTACCTTCAACAAACGATAATTTGTTTGAAAAGTACAATTATCATTCATACTGCACATTCAAATTATCATCATTTGTTGTTTTACAAAAATCTAACAATTGCCAAATAATTTCAAGCTACACAGTAGAAAATACTGAGCTCACCTTTTCCTGTTTGTATAATTACTTAAAAGTAAGGAACGTGTTAGAAAACACTAATTCTTACAGACTATTACATGTATTGCTTCTGCAGTGAGGGAACGAAAGGACTCATTTTACTGTGTAAGAATTATAATGTTAGCCTAAATTATATACAAAATACGGTACAAAAATGTAGGTGCTTAGAAAAGTAGTGAGTACTGTTCTCTCAAATTATATCTAAATGGGCCTTTGGGTATGTCTAGCAAAAACATTAATTTCAAAAAACATACATACTATTTTAATGTAAACAACTTTTATTATGGTAGAAATTAAGATCTAAACTAGAACATAATTCTTTCTTGATTAGTGTAATATTCAACCTTTAGGTTCCAACAAAATGTATTGTCAGTTTTCAAGATAACTACAGTTGTTTTGTTGCTCAAAGATATTTTTATTTTTAAAACTATTGAGTAGCTACTTCAGTGACCTAAATAATCTCCCACTGGGACTCAAATAACTCTATTTACATAATAACCATATAATAGCACATTATCTTTTACTTCATCTAAACAACAACAGTGCCATATGTTTTACCATCTGAAGAGTCTGGAAAAAAAGTTAGTCTAACTTCAAAATTAATTATAAAGGTTGAAGTAATAAAAAAGGCCAATTTTGTTAAAGCAGTCAAGCCTATTTTGACTATTAAAAAGAAAATAATGGTGCATATGAATAGGGACTCTAAAGAGATCCTACAGTCTCCAAATATATATTCCTGTTTTATTTATAACAATTCTTGAAATTTTAGTATTAAACCAGTGTATTAGTTAGGGTTCTCAAGAGTGACAGTGATATGGTTTGCCTTTTTGTCCCCATTCAAATTTTATCTCAAATTGTAATCCCCATGTGTTGAAGGAGGGACCTGGTGGGAGGTGATTGTATCTTGGGATGGTTCCCCCATGCTGTTCTCCTAATAGTGAGTTCTCACAAGAGCTGATGGTTCTAAAATGTGGTACTTCCCATCTCGATCTCTCCTTCTCTCCTGCTGCCATGTAAGACATACCATGTTTTCCTTTCACCCTCTGCCGTGATTGTAAGTTTACTGAAGCCTCCCCAGCTGTACGGAATTGAGTCAATGAAACCTCTTTGCTTTATAAATTACCCAGGCTCAGGCCATTCTTTATAGCAGTGTGAAAACAGACTAATACAGACAGAAAGAACTAATAGGATACATAATAGATAATAAGTAGACAGACAGATGATAGATAGATGATATAGATAGATAATAAATAGATTAGATAGATAAGCAGATAGGATTGATTAGGGGAATTGAGTCAGATGATTACGGGATACTGAGAAGCCTCATGACAGAACTTCTGCAACCTGAAAACCCTGGGATGCCAATAACATACCAGGGTGAAAGTCCAAAAGCCTCAGAACCAGGAAAGCCAATGCTGTATTTCTCAGCCCCAGGCTGAAGACTTGGAAATCCAGGGCGGCTGTTGGTGTAAGTTCCAGAGTCTTAAGGCCGAAGAGTCTGGAGTTCTGATGTCCATGAGCAGGGGAAGAAGAGTGTCCCAGTTACAGGAGGGAGACAGAGAAAATTTACCTTTTTGTTCTCTCTGGGCCCCCATTCAATTGGATGGTGCCCACCTACTACTTGAAGGCAGATCCCTTGCACTTTGTCCACTGAGTTACATACCTATCTTTTCTTGAAATGCCGTCACGGTCACACATAGAAACGATGCTTTACCAGTTCTTTGGTTATTCCTTAATCCAGTCAAGTTGACACTTAAAATTAATGATCACAACCAGGTTACCTCAAATTACTCTTTTGTGTCCTTTGAATAAATAATAATAGTAAAAAAAAATTTAAATTAGCTTTATTTTTAATAATGTAAATTAAAATGCCAGTATTAATCTGAAGTGTTTTAGACATTTTAAATAATTAAAAAGAAGTATTTCCCAGGCTCTGATTAGAATGTCATACAGTTTTCTAATATGAATTAAACCTCATAACTAATTTGACTGTGAAGAGATTGGGAAGCACACATGGATTAATCACTTTTGGGGCTGAACTCTGAAGGGTTGAGGTATTTTCTATGGAATTCTGTATTTTTGGGGAGGAGGAGAGTGAGAAAAGGGAAAGACGGAGGGAATAAAACAAAACAGAGATAATAATGAGACCTGAAATTATCTACCCCTACGTACAGCCTGGACACAGAACCCAAACCACAAGTTGTCTATATTAGCATGAGATTGTTCTGCTCCTCTCTCTTTATTAGCATGACTTTGCTGTTTCTCTGTTTTCATTGGCATGACTTTATTTTTCTAGGAATCTTCTGCTCAGGCAAATGGTTTGATTCTTAATTATAAGAACTTGCAGAAAGTCTTATGAAGCCTTCAATGAAAAATGCAAACAGACAGTTTATTTTGTCCTAAAATTTGTTGAATTCCTCATCTCACAATCTCACTCTGCTGTTACTGCCAACCCTGGACTATGGTATCATGATTCTTACCCAATCTTTATCAAACCCCCTCACTTATTTAAAACACCTATAATTAAACCAAACATTCAATTCTAAAAGAATTCTGTCTTTGCCTTCTTTTCCAGACACTGAAATCTTTTTGAGGTGTTTTCTCCCCGTTAAAAGAAAAAGCATAGACAAAATACATGTAACATAATTTATTTGAGCAAAGAGTGATTCATAAATTAGGAAGCACTCAAAATCAGAAGATTCAGAGAGCTCCATACTGCAATGTAGGCAGTGAGCTTTTAGGCTGAACGTAGAAATAAAGTACAGAAATAGCTTGGCTGGTTACAGCTAGGTGTTTGCCTTACTTGGACATGGTCTGATCAGTTGCCTGTCTATGAATAGCTGAAGCATGGCTGCTTGTGACTGGCTGAGACCTAGCTATCTGTTACAAAAGATATATATACTCCTGAGTTAGGCTTTGGTTTGTTTATGTGCTAAATTAGATTGTAGTTAATTACGTAGAAACTCAAACTACGGAGACAGTCTTAAACCAATGGCCTCCTGCTTATTTAATGTGTCTGACCATAGTAATCTGTATACTCAGTTTTTTCATATCAATGGCATGTGTTTGGTAATATTTGGGAAGCCAGAATTTAACAATCATTATGAATTTATCCACATTGGTGGAATTGAAAAGTTGTCTATAAACAACAAAAACAAAAAAGAAAGTTGAAGAGAAGAAATAGGAGAAAGACCTATCAGAATAAGCTTAAAATGAAAAGAAAGAGGGGGGAAAAGTAATTATGAAACTGATAGAAAAGGAGGAATAAATGGAAATGTAGATGTTACCTCAGATAAATGATCAGGGTAGTAAAACAAGAAGATAGAACATTTAGACATTTTCCTTGTACATTGGGAAAAGTCAGCAACTAGATGCATATAACTATAACGATGGTAGTTTCTATCCATTTCATCTAAAATGCAAATATGACCATGTCGGTTTCATTCTTAATCTTTCTGTAGCTTTTAATTGTGCTTATGATGAATAGAAATTCTTTGTAAACTGTGTGATCTTACGTATATTTAAAAAATCTTATCTTTAGCCATTGTTTATCTCAATCACTTGTTATTCATCCACACTACTTTTTTCTCAGTTCCTCAGATTTTCTGGGTACCTATCATAGCAAGTAATTTTGTATTAATCCATTTTGATATTTAATACACTTACCTTGGTAGAAAGCAAGTTGTAGGAAGGCAAATTATATGTTTTGTTCATAATTGAATAATTGTTTCCAACATGTGGCAGATACTTGATTCTTAAGCAAAATAATGTATATCCAGAAAAGTATTATATAAGGATTGCTTTTAATACTTTCAAGAACTGGCAAAACTAATCAATGATGATAGGCATTAGAAAGCATTTGCCTTTTTCTGGTGAAGCAATTGAATGGGCGTGAGGAAACATTCTGAGTTCATGGAAATATGAGGCTATTGGTTACTTGAAAGTATTCTTTTGTGAAAACACATCAGATTTTATATTTGTGACGTGAATTTCACTGTATAAAAATTGTAGTTAGATATAAGGCAGATATGACAACACTTTTTGAGCTATATACTTTGGAACCATAATATTACTTAAGGCTATTTTAATCCTTCATATATTTACACATGTATTCAACATATATTTATTGGTTAAGTACCTCATGTGCTCATCTACGAAGAAGATGCAGATAGTCTGTGCCTTTGTAGATAATAGAGATGAAAGGAGCCATTTTATGGGGTCTCATGGAATGTTTCATGGTGATTAACAAGGAAAGCCTGTAAAGATAAAGCCCTTAGCCCTTCAAATACAATTCAACTTGATGACACAATTCAGTTAATTATAAATTATATGCTATGTAGTTTTAATATTATGAGTTATATTATAAATTGCGTGCTAACTATAGAAAATATAATTTTGGTTTAAAACATTAGAATCAAAGACTATTATTGAAAAATGTTAAATGTCTGCTTAAATTTGTTATAATACACTGGTTCCCTTTCCTGTTATTATTAATATATTGTTTCATATCAACTCATTTCATTCCACTCCCTCAAATATTTGAACACTAAACATAATGGAAGATACAGTATAGAAAAAAGAAGAATGAGTAAAATATTAAACTTAATGTTAGGTGGTATATTGTTTAATAATTTTGTAGGTCCCCCAAAAGACACGTTGTGAAACCAGGCTGAATGAAAGTTAAGTGAAGGAAGTTCCCAAATTAAGTTATGTCTCCACAACTCTAAAACATACATTCTTACATAATTTTTAAATTTATAACATGGGTATAGACTCATGTTAGTAAACGTTAGAGAAATTAGCTTGGGATTAAATATATGTTTCTAGGACAAATAGGGTAGATTAAAAGATAAAAAATAAGAAAAATATAAGGAAATTTGCAATATTAATTTATTTTTCTAATTTGCAATGTGCTAAACATTTTCACATGTAATTCATATAGAGTTTTGAACAATGGCTAACATAGCAGATGTGTCAATATAAATTAACTCATACATCTAAATTACTGAACTAGTAAATGAGAAATTTCATAATCTGAACTATATCTCAACACTTTCAAATTCACTGTACTGTTGAGGTAATCAAAATGTATAAAGGTTTCTTCTATAGTCAAGTAAAAATATTTACCAACAAATGTACTCAAAAAAAATCTAGTTTCTACATCTGTCTAAATTGATCTTGAGTTTTTCAGAAACCACTTATCCTCTATGTAGGAGTAACTTTAGACTGCTGCAATAATATAAACTGTTCCTCTCTGTAGTACTCAAGTTTTCTGGTAAAAAGGCTTGAGTTTTCAAATTTACTTTCTTTTCAAAACACACAGTCAGTGGTAAACAAAAGGGAAAAAGAAGAAATAATAGTTTGCTATGGTATTGGAAATAATGAGTACTCAGATTGCCTAGATATTCTCTAGTTGGCTCTTATGTTTTAATAGACATCCATTGTCTGCTTGATCACTGCCCAACCAGCTGACATTTGGGGTAAAGACAGTGGTTTGTGTCACCTGGGTTATTTCTCTTTCTACTTGCCAGTACCCAGCAGATCTACTTGGCTGCTTTGTCTTTTTCCCCCAACTCTTGGCATATATGTAGAGTATCCTCCACACATAGAGTCCAGGTTTTATTTTATTTCTTTTTTTAAATACAACAAGGAGCAGAAAATATGTATTTATTTTGAGACATGGTCTTGCTCTGTTGGCCAGGCTGGAGTGCAGTAGCATGATCATATCTCACTGAAACCTTGAGCTCCTGGGCTCAAGCGATTATCCTGCCTCTATCTCCCTAGTAGCTAGGATTCCAGGTGTGCACCACCAAGTCCAGCTTCTTTTTTTTTTTGGTTGAGAAGGGGATCTCACTGTTGCTCAGGACAGCCCAGGTTTTATTCTGATTTCCATTTGTTCTTGAACTTGACAAGAAGGACCCCTTCTGGCTTCTGAGGAGCCACTGGGGCAAATGTCTCCTGAAAACTCCCTCAACTGGTCTTTCAGATGCTTCTAAGTCTATCCATGTTAAAATAGCATCAAGAGCCAGTCAGGAAAAATAAACATCATCTTCTTTCTGCCTAATCATAGACAGCATTAAGTTTATTTTGCTGTATTTGGAATCGAAGTATAGAGTGTGATAAAATGTCCATATGTTTAAGGCCTCACAAATTGTATTGTTTCTCCTAAAGCCATCCCTTTCTAGGCTCAACCTCAAGGCAGGGGAGTGGGAGGGAGGCTTCTTACTGTTTCCTCCATCATCTACCACAATCTCTCATGTACTCAAGTTTAGAGAAAGTAAATGTTTCCTCTTCTTACCTGGTTATCCTTTAAGTAGTACCCTGTAATCTAATCCATGATACCTGCTTCTCCATAAGTTAAATGAGATGATAAAGGAATCCTTTTTAAAACCAACCTTTCTTCCTGTGCTTGCCTTGAGAACTTATAAAAATTCTATTTTGAATTTTCACAAGCTGAACACTAATTTAGTATTTCTATTTTTACTAATACTGCAAAAGTCATTATCACTACATGTTTCCTCCAAGTTTCTCTTTCTCCTACTCAAAATTGTATAGAATCCTTGTGTTAAAGATCATTCCAACAGAAATATAAAGAAGGAATAATATGGCTATCCTTGTCTTATAGACTTGGATGATTATATAGGTTACATCTGCAGATAACTGTGAATGAATTTCAAGTAGACGGGAAAATACACTAGAGCATATGGTGTATAATAGTGGAGCACAATAGAGTAAGAAATTTGCAATATATGTATGAAAATATTTAGGGAATAAAGTATGCTTTCTTGAATATTGCTACTTCTTAGTTCTTGTGACAATAATATCTACTTCTTTCTGTAATTACTGCTCGATTAAAAGTGTGGTGACTTCCATGAAGGTCAAATTCTCTTTGCTAGTGCCATAGCTTTATCAATGTGAAGAAACTTTCACTTAGGTGAATTCTCTCCAATTTAGAATTAATAAATGAGCTTACGGATGAAGTAAAGAATAGAAACAGGAAAAATAGTAAATAATAGAAAGAGGAGAAGATGGAAGAGTTAAACTTCAGCTAATTAATTCTAATAATAAAATCTAACTTATTTGAAGCCATTCCTTGCAGAACTTGGATGAATGGTTCCATGTAAATTTGTATGCTGAATGTAGTGCATGCATTTTCTTTATATTTAATTTCTATTCCAGCTGCTAGTTTTGAGAGAAGAAATTCAATGATGGGGTATTCTTTTAAAGTTATTTGCAATTTAAAAATGTATATTCGATAATATTATACTGATAAATATCAAAAATTCTACTGCAGTTGAATTGAGATAATTTTTTTTTGCTTATTACCTTGGGACAAAAATGGTTGTACAAACAATTATCATCAGGTGGCACTATTTGAAAAGTCCTGATTTTGGTATTATATTTTGACTTGCAGTTAAAAAGCATTATTTTCTTAGAGTTTGATATCAATGTAGTATTTCATATCACTACAATATAAACATATAAAATCATAAACTTAAAATTATGTAAGTATTTAAAATGAAGGGTGTCAATTCAACAAATCATAATTCGATACCTAATATATGTCAGGTAGAGTATTAGAAATGTGGAACATAAAAGGATGGATCAAACCTAATCCCTTTGTACTTCAAAAGCTTAAATATACTCAGGAAAACAGATATTGGTAATGAATAATATGATAACTATAATGTGTAGCAGAATAGGGATGCTATAATAGGGATAGAAGAAAATGATACAGGTAAAGAGAAGAAAGAGATTGATTCACATATTTTGTCCCTGTTTATTTTATGTACCATACATCGTGTGGTAGGAAGCATGCAAAAACGTTTGTTTTCATGTGAGATATTAGTATGATATACTAGTTTATAGAGGCAGACTCTAATATATTACACCTGATTACCAGCACAAAACGAGCTTTTGACACTCCAAAAATGAAACTGGAGGAAAAGAATGAATGTGCATGGTTCAGATCAAAGTTATTTCCATACAAAGGTCACTGAAGAACTTTAAGATCAATGTATTCTCCTTAAAACCCTGCCCAAGATTTTGAGAGTTGTTTGCTAGCACAACAAAGAAAAAAAAATCATGAAGGTGTTAGTGGATAGTAAAGAATTTGAATTGATTATTTTACATGGAAAATAAATATGTCCTACCTTCTACCACTTTCTCTTTCAAGTTCAACTCCAATTGCAAACCTTTCACCTTAGGAAATCGTAACTTAAATAGAATTTATTTTGCATATTTTCTATGCATTCAACTGGGGAGTTTTCCCTTGGAATCTCTTTTCTTATCTGAAATATTCTAACAAAATTTAAAAGACCACCTGTGAGACAGTGGTAGTTGGTGCTGGGATGTAAATGGAGAGAAATTTTTTAAAACATAAATATTTATCAGTATAAATCCCATGTTATGAAATAATTTGAGCAAGCAGCAACCAG
This sequence comes from Homo sapiens, assembly GCF_000001405.40. Classification (NCBI taxonomy): domain Eukaryota; kingdom Metazoa; phylum Chordata; class Mammalia; order Primates; family Hominidae; genus Homo; species Homo sapiens. The sequence goes on along the minus strand of NC_000005.10, from coordinate 85,881,002 downwards.
AGTATTTCTACTTCAAATAGTAGTATCGTCTTGAGGAAATGAAAATGTGGATCTCTTTTACAGAATCAACTAATTCTAGCCTTTAAAATATACCTTGGAACAAATGGACTTAACATTCTATCCAACAACCACAGAATGCACATTCTATTCAACAGCACGTGGAACTTTCTCCAAGATAGACTATATGTTAGACCATAAAATAAGCCTCAATAAATTTAAGAAAATTAAAATTATATCAAGCACTCTTTCAGACGAGAGTGGAATAAACTAGAAATCAACTCCAAAAGGAACCTTCAAAACCATGCAAATACATGGAAATTAAATAACCTGCTCATGAATGAGCATTGGGTCAAAAACGAAATCAAGATGGAAATTAACAAATTCTTAAAACTGAATGACAATATGACACAATCTATGAAAACCTCTGGGATACAGCAAAGGCAGTACTAAGAAGAAAGTTCATAGCCCTAAATGCCTACATCAAAAAAGTCTGAAAGAGCACAAAGAGACAATCTAAGATCACACCTCAAGGAACTGGAGGAATAAGAACCCAGAAGAAGAAAGGAAACAACCAAGATCAGAGCAGAACTAAATGAAATTGAAACAAACAAGAAAAAAAAACTACAAAAAGATAAATGAAACAAAAAGCTGGTTCTTCAAAAAATTAATAAAATTGATTGACCATTAGCAAGATTAACCAAGAAAAGAAGACAGAAAACCCAAATAACTTCACTAAGAAATGAATCAGGAGATATCACAACTGACATTACTGAAATACAAAAGATCATTCAAGGCTACTATGAACACCTTTATGCACACAAACTAGAAAACCTAGAAGAGATGGATCAATTTCTGGAAAAATACAACCCTCTTAGCTTAAATCAGAAAGAATTAGATACCCTGAACAGACCAAAAAGAAGCAGTGAGACTGAAATGGTAATTTAAAAATTGCCAACAAAAAAAGTCCAGGAGCAGATGGATTCACAGCAGAATTCTACCAGACATTCAAAGAAGAATTGGTACCAATCCTTTTGACACTATTCCACAAGATAGAGAAAGAAGGAACCCTCCCTAATTCATTCTATGAAGCCAGCATCACCCTAATACCAAAACCAGGAAATGACATAACTAAAAAAGAAAACTACCAATAGATATCCTTGACGAACATAGATGCCAAAATCCTTAAAAAATACTGGCTAGCTAACTGAATCCACCAACATATCCAAAAGATAATCCATCATAATCAAGTGGGTTTCGTACCAGGAATTCAGGGATAGTTTAACATACACAAGTCAATAAATGTGATATACCATGTAAACGGAACTAAAAACAAAAATCACATGATCATCTCAATAGATGCAGAAAATGCATTCCACAAAATCCTGCATTCGTTTATGATTAAAACTCTCAGCAAAATTAGCATATAAGGGACATACCTCAATGTAATAAAAGCCATCTATGACAAACCCACAGCCAACATAATACTGAATGAGGAAAAGTCGAAAGCATTCCCTCCAAGAACTGTAAGAAGACAAGGATGCCCACTCTCACCACTCCTCTTCAGCATAGTACTGGAAGTCCTAGCCAGCACAGTCAGACAAGAGAAAGAAATAAAAGGCGTCCAAATTGGTAAGGAGGAAGTCAAACCATCACTGTTTGCTGACAATATGATCGTTTACCTTGAAAACCCTAAGGACTCCTCCAGAAAGCTCTTAGAACTGATAAAAGAATTCAGGAAGGTTTCCAGATACAAGATTAATGTACACAAATCAGTACCTCCTTCATACAACAACAATGACCAAGTGGAGAATCAAATCAAGAACTCGAAAGACCTCTACAAGGAGAACTACAAAACTCTGCTGAAAGAAATCATAGATGACATGAACAAATGGAAATATACCATGCTCCTGGATGGGTAGAATCAATATTGTGAAAATAACCATACTGCTAATACCAATCTACAAATTGAATGCAATCCCCATCAAAATACCACCATCATTCTTCATGGAATTAGAAAAAAAAAGTTATAAATTTCATATGGAACCAAAAAAGGGCTTGCATAGCCAAAGCAAGACTAAGCAAAAAGAAAAAATCTGGAGGCGTCACAATACCTGCTTTCAAACTATACTATAAGGCCATAGTCACCAAAACAGTATGGTACTGGTATAAAAATAGGCACATAGACCAATGGAACAGAATAAATAACCGAGAAATAAACCCAAATACTTACAGCCAACTAATCTTTGACAAAGCAAACATAAACATAAAGTGGGAAAAGGACGCCCTTTTTAACAAATGGTTCTGGGATAATTGGCTAGCCACCTGTAGGAGAATGAAACTGGATCCTCATCTCTCACCTTATACAAAAGTCAACTCAAGGTGGATAAAGCATTTAAACCTAAGACCTGAAACTATACAAGTTCTAGAAGGTAACATTGGAAAAACTCTTCCAGGCACTGTCTTAAGCAAGGATTTCATGACCAAGAACCCCAAAGCAAATGCAACAAAAACAAAGATAAATAGCTGGGACCTAATTAAACTAAAGATCTTTTGCATGGCAAAAGGAGCAGTCAGCAGAGTAAACAGACAACCCACAGAGTGGGAGAAAACCTTTACAATCTATACATCTGACAAAAGACTAATATCCAGAGTCCACAACAAACTCAAACAAATCAGTAAGAGAAAAACAAAAAATCCTATCAAAAAGTAGGCTAAGGACATAAATAGACAATTCTCAAAAGAAGCTATACAAATGGCCAACAAACATATGCAAAAGTGCTCAACATCACTATTGATCAGGGAAATGCAAATCAAAACAACAATGCCATACCACCTTACTCCTGCAAGAATGGTCATAATCAAAAAACGAAAAAACAGTAGATGTTGGCATGGATGAAGTGAACAGGGAAACCTTCTACACTGGTGATGAGAATGTAAACTAGTACGGCCACTATGGAAAACAGTGTGGATATTCCTTAAAGAGCTAAAAGTAGAACTACCATTTGATTCAGCAATCCCACTGCTGGGTATCTACCCAGAGGAAAACAAGTGTTTATTAGAAAAAGATACTTTCACATGCATGCATATAGCAGCACAATTCTCAATTGCAAAATCGTGGAACCAACCCAAATGTTCATCAATCAATGAGTGGATAAAGAAACTGTAGGAGATAGATAGATGATAGATAGATAGATAGATAGATGATAGACAGATGATAGATGATAGATAGATAGATGTGTATATATATATCCTATATATACAGTTATTTATATATATATATATAAAACTGTAGGATATATATATGATGGAATACTATGCAGCCATAAAAAGGAATGAATTAACAGAATTTGCAGTTACCTGGATGAGATTGGAGACGATTATTCTAAGTGAAGTAACTCAGGAATGGAAAACCAAACATCGTGTGTTCTCACTGATATGTGGGAGCTAAGCTATGAGGACACAAATGCATAAGAATGATACAATGGATTTGGGGACTCCGGGGGAAGAGTGGGAGTGGGTGAGGGATTAAAAGACTACAAATATGGTGCAGTGTATACTGCTCGGGGGATGGGTGCACCAAAATCTCACAAATCAACCCTAAAGAACTTATTCATGTAACCAAATACCACCTGTACACCAATAACTTATGGCAAAATAAAAATAAAAATGATAATAGTAATAATGAAGAACCAATAAATCCTACACACATGCCTAATTTGGTTTAGAAGAATTACTATAGGAACAAACTACATTAAAATATAAAATTTATGTTTCTCCTTAAGACAAAGAACAGAATTTAATATCTCAGTGATTACATTTTGCCTTGAATATAAAACCTGGGCAAAATTGTATTCTGAATAAGACTTTTTAAAGAGTTAGCAATTTATTTTACTATTATTTACCTGCAAATTTTAGTATAGGAATATTGGAGGCCAGGCACGGTGGCTCACACCTGTAATCCCAGCATTTGGGAGGCCGAGGCTGATGGATCATGAGGTCAGGAGTTCGAGACCAGCCTGGCCAGCATAGTGAAACCCCATCTCTACTAAAAATACAAAAATTAGTCGGGCATGGTGGCACACGCCTGTAGTCTCAGCTACTTGGAAGGCTGGAGAATCTGAACCTGGGAGGTGGTGGTTACTGTGAGCTGAGATCGTGCCACTGCACTCCAGCCTGGGTAACAGAGCAAGACTCCATCTTAAAAAAAAAAAAAATGGAAGAGATATCAAGGTCAGTATTTGTTTTCTAAATTCAAATGGTTTAGAATGTACATGCTGGCAAAATGCTTAACTTTCTGCTTTTCAGTTGATTATTAAAAGCAATTGATGGCATGTTGCATATGTAAAAGTAGCTGTAAGCTAAAAAGTAATATTAAGTAATTTTAATTAAAAAAATTGTCCATAGATTGGAGTTTTGGTCTGAATATAATCTAATGTACTAGAAGATCTTCCAATATAAGATACAGCAATCCTTATCAAGGCATTAGGCTAGTAATCTTGAAAGACTAGGTTATGTTTTAGGGCTCCAAAGACACCATTAACTTGGTTTATATAGCTCACTATTCTTCCTTGAAAGTAAGCAATTAGCTTCCTTTGTAGCAAGTATAAATATGCCTACAAAATAGAAAAAAAAATAGAAATAAAAGAAAATAAATATATTTGAAAACAGAAGTATGTTTAAAAATAACTTCAATTATTAAGAGAAGGAAATTACATTTCAAGAATACTTAAATGGTTTGCCTGCTAAAATGTTTCATTGTATAAGCTGCTAATCATTTCAATTTCTCTTATATTTTAACAGTGGGGGGGATTTGGAATACAGCCAAAATTTAGGTACAGCTAAATTTAATTAAAAGTGGTTTAGTCCTAGATTTGTCTTCATGTATCTAAAATATAAATGCATTAAAACATAAATTCTGCAGTTACTATCAGTAGACGAAATGCTGCCAAAATATTCTTATATGTCACTATATTGTTTATTACCCATTTGGAAAACCATAACCAGAAATAAAAAAATTTTAATATGTCTCTTTTTACTATCCTCCTAAAATCTTAAAGAACAGCAAGACACCCCTCTCTTACCTTGGATTCTTTTCATTTTCCTTCCACATTAAGCCCGTTTGTTTGCTGTCCTGTTCATTGACTCTTTTTTTCTTAATCTATACTTAAAATGATAGTTTTATAACCAATTTTTTCTCCTAGTTCCTACTCTTTGTTTGGGAAATCACAGTTCTTTTAATGCCTTTCCTGTATTCAGTAAGCTTAGCACTCTCAAATATGAACTTCCAGCCCTTTCTTTTTCCTCAGCACTAGACACATATTTTCTACGGCTACCTCGTCATTTCTTATGACAAGATTTTTCCTCAAGATCAATACGTTCACAAACAACACATCACTTTTCCCATTTCCTGCCCAATCCCATCCCCTTACAAATTCTGCTCATTATTAAGTTTTTTCCCTTCCACAGGTAACATTATATGCTCAGGAAAATAGCCATACAAGTTTACCATCTGAAGTTCTACTGAACATCTTCTTCTTTGCTAAATTTGCCTTTTTGCTTCAATTAAAATTTGTTTCTTACAACATTTCAAAATGTCTCCATAGTCTGTCTCTCTTGTGTGATCTAATTTGCATTGTTCAAACTTGCCTCTAAAATAATCTTGGAATGGCCTTCACACTGACATCTCATCTGTATATGCCTTCTTTCTCCATAGGTTTAAATCCAAATCACTTAAGGTTCTACAAAATAGAAGAGTCTATCCTATCATATCATATAGAATGATTCTTTCAAGTTATTTACATTTAGAAATACATACATTAAGTTTGTGGTTGCATTTAAAAAGTTCCAGTAGATTATAAATATGTACTGAGTACATAGTAAATACATAAAGTCAGACCATATTTAAGGGAGCAGATAAATAGAATTTACTTCTAGATAGAATAAATGCAAATCTATGCTGCAAAAATATATGTGTGTATAGATAGATAGATAGATAGATAGATAGATAGATAGATAGATAGATAGATAAATTTCTCGTGATTAGGCAACCAATCATATTACAGGAACCACAGAATTAGTTGTGATTGTGAAATGGTCTACTCTCAACTCCAACTTTTGGTTATTTAACTATAGTATACTGAGTATGAACAAAAAATTATATATATATATATAATTGGCAGCTCATTTAAGGTGTATGCTACATCCAGTAACATCCAGTAATATAGAATTTCACAATTGCAAGATATTGATTTCCAGCTGATGCTTTAACTGAGCCCTCAGCAAAGGCAATTCATTATTCTTTTAAGCCACCACAGTAAATTCTGTGGGTGTGAGTGTATTCTTAGTGTGTGTGTGTGTGTGTGCTGTGTCTTAAATGTTTGTGTCCCTCTAAAATTCACGTTGAAATGTAATCCTCTATGCAATAGTATTAACAGGAGAGGCCCTTAGGAGATGATTAAGTCAGAAGGGTTACATCCTCGTAAATGAGATTAATCCCCTTAATAAGGAAGCTTCATGCAGCATTTGCCCAATTTCACCTTTCTACCTTTTCCATCTTTTACACCATGTGACGACTTAGCATTCATCCCCTTCAGAGGATGCAGCATTTAAGGTGCCATTTGGAGGCAGGAACTAGGACTTCACCAGACACTGAAACTGCCAGTGTGTTGATCTTAGACTTCCCAGCTTTCATAACTTCTAAATAAATGTCTATTCTTTATAATTTACCCAGTTTGTAGTATTCTGTTGTAGCAGCACAAACAGGCTAAGAAAATTTTCTTTACCATAAAATGTAGTCTGTGGTCGGAGCTGAGGTTTTGTAGGAAGATAGAAAATAGAAAAGGAATTGATAAAGTCTTTGAATGAGAGGATAGCAGAAGATTTTTTAACAGAAAAGGGAAATGTTTATGTGGAACATGCATCTATTCACATAGGATAAACAATGGTCTTCTCCATGATGAAAAGTTTCCCTAATATAATAAACTTGTCACCAGGGTCTGGCTGGACAGTGGCCTTTAATGCTAGCAGTCATAATAATTGGTCAGATCAGCTTTAATTAAGAGAAATGCATGCTATTGAGCCAATATACAGTTTTTATCCCTGCTACCATGGAGAGCTTGTAAATAAACCTATCAAGCAAACAGCAAGATGGCTAGATAATTAGATTTATCAAGATCCGCAGGACAAGTGATCTTTTTCACCTTATTATTGAACATCTGCTCATTTTGAATTGCCCTGCTACAGACATTTACACGGCACACAAATATCTTATATTTTTTGACCGTTCTGAAAAATACATATAAATAGTTTTCCCACAGCCGATTCCTCAGACTATCTCTTCTTCCACATTAAGTAGGAAGCTAGATGTAAGGACCAAAATCCTGTCCTTTATAGCTACTGTCTTTCATAGTTCTTCCTCAACTGGACTACAATGCAGTAGCCATCCACTTTAAACTGGTACCAGCATGTCATGCAGACCCAATTATAAACCACACCCATGTTTTTCTTCCTGTATCAACTGGTCAAAAGGAATCCTTCATGAGATCTGTTGGTTTAAAAGTAGACAACAAAGAAATAGGAGCAGACATAATGAGTCAACTGTATTTTATATTTACTTTTGCCTCTGGATCTACTCAAATACCTTCTCAGATATACAATTTACATTTACACACTGGGCTGTTGCTGTGTAAGTATGATATTGATTCACTGGATCCATTTATGCTGCATAGCTCTGGTCACATGGTTCCCCACAGCCAGGAATTCAGCTACTACCATGGCCCATTAGCATGCCAGAGACCATTTTCAAATGGACAATAGTTATCAGCAAAGGAGGTTATGGCTTTACTAAAAAACATTAGAAGTCTGCACTGTGATTGTCCTACTGGGGTTTGTTGGACATCTTATAGATAATTCCTATCTGCCACAGGCATTTCCAATAGCATTTTGTCTGCAAGATTATAAAGTTTGTGATGGTTTTGCATAGTGTCAACATAGCCAGGCTGAAACTATGTTTTCCAAAAGTTTTTTTCTTGTATGGTTTTCACTTATAATTGGCCCCGAGAGGAATTTTCATGAGATTTGGTATATAGAATTTAAGCAGCAGCAAAATTCTCTGAATGTGGATATAGTACAGTGTGCCAGGCACCACTGTAGCTCATGTACATTGTCACTAATCTGCTGGTTCATGTTGTTGGTATGGGGCAACAGTCAAGCCCACAGTTTCTCCAGCTCCTATCAGATGTTTTTCTTTAGTTTCACTGAGCCCGTAGTCGGGTGCATGTGCAGCTTCATGACAAAAGGTGTTAGCATCTTTTGCAAGTTACCTTTATTGTCAAGGTTGGCAGCAATGAGAAACAGACAGGAGTTATCTTCATAGGTCCTAGTTTGTCCTTATAAATGCTTATATTTTCATCACTTCTGCTTAAATACCAGAGTTTTTCTCACCTGTCTTACCTGTAGAGGTACAGCAACTTAAGCTCCTGGTCAGATGCAGAGGCAACAGTTTTTAATAGACTGATTAAATCTGCTCCAATAATTGCACACTATCCAATCCATCAGCCTAATGTATTCTATGTTCTGTGAGATAAAAAGGTGATGACAATCATTCCAAACTACAAGATCACATTGACCGGGAGGCTAGGCATAGTTCTAATAAAGGAGAGCAAAGGAGTAATACTATTTCTACCAGGTAAAGACAAGTTATTCCTGATAATTTTTGTTGATTAAAATTTCAAAAAAAAGATTGGCCAATAGCTACATACCACATGCCAGGAGTTGTGTTAGTTTGCTTCAATACAGATACCACATACGGAAGTGGATGTGCCATTGTTATCACCATCTAATTGGCAATATGGTCATTTTTCACTTTTTCAGGGACAGTTGGAAGGGCTCTGCTTGGCACTTCTTACCAAAGTAGCTCTCACTCTAAGGGTCAGAAAGCAGTATGCTCATTTTTACCAGTTACTTGTATTTTTGCTATGAACTCTAGGATAGAGAAACAAATACCAGATGGATCTGCAGTCTCATGGGATTTACTGTGAGACCTATTTGGGCAAAGGCTTATATCAAACATCTTTCCTTCATAAACCTTGACTTTGACTGCTAGATCACTGTAGATTTATGGATCCCCAGGAGTTAGTGTTTCAGTTCAGAGACAATTTCTGATAACCCAGTGTAATTTTTCTTTCCTAAATGTGGTGTCACTCTGGAAGAGGTCTGCAGTTCACATTTTAGAATAACAGAGGAAAGACTCACATTATTCTGTTGTGAGCAAACAGCATGGTTCTTCCTCAAGAGAACTGGGTTTCCTATCAATGATGATTGGTTGTGGATTGGCTTAGACTTGGGAATAGAGTAAGGAGTTCTGGATCCCTGTCAGTGTTACTGAAGTTAGGTCTCTGCTTTCCACGCCTAGAGGTTTTCCACTTACATGTTTACAGCAGTACCTCAGTGAGATGTCCATCTCTTTCATTAATAAGGATCTTATATTCAATTAAATATTGCCACAAACCTCCAAAACATTGTGATTAAAACCTTGTTGCTGAAGTTTAATATTGAAATGGCATTCAAATTGTTACTCAGGTTAAGCAGCCATCTATTGCTTTTAACATTCCAAAATGTGTTATTCTTAATCCCACTGAGGTATTTTCTATTGTCATTGTTAATTTACAGAGAAGACACCAATAGTTATTTGATGATGCTGGTGGGTTCCTCATCAAATCATTTTGCATGCCAGGAGTGTCCACCTGGAAGATATGGTTAGGGAGTGGCTGAGAAGGTTGTACATAATACAGTCACTCCAAAAATTCAATTTCTCTGTGCTTTCATACTCCTTCCTCCTAAGAATATCTGGGGAGTTCTGCCTTTCAACTGACGGGTAGGCCACAGCTGAATTTATGTTTCAACTGAACTTAGAGAATGTTAATGCCGTGCAAATGTGCATGAGCCAATTATTTAAATTAAAAATTTCCTTAGGAGAATCAGCATGTACTTGTGATGTAACTACCCACTTCACATGCAATACTTTTAAGCAGAAAAAAAGATGATTCCTCCACAGAAGGAGAAATTGCTTTTGCTAACAAAAAACTTTCAGAAGAATTTCGGCATAAATATTCTCAGCCTCATCTCATCTGGTCTATGCTTGCTTAGATTTTTTTCATTGTGTATTTCAGAGTTTCACTTTTTTCCTCCAAGTGTACTTATTTTAGCATAAGAAAATGTAGTTGGGTTATATATTGGCATTGTAACTTTAATTTTTACAATTAAGCCCTGGGCTTGATTCTAAGACATGTCTTCCCTGAAACTATAAAAGATAAGAAACTTTTTTTCAGAATTGCCACTGAGGCATTCTATTTTTTCATCCTTGTTCTGTATAAACTCTAAAATTTTCAAAGGTAGCTGCTTCAAGCCATAATGTTAGTAATCATGATTGCTGCCTTTGTAACTAAGTGATAGCTGTGTGACTGCCATTGCCTTGCCCTCCATTTGCAACCCATTCCATCCATAATTAAAAGATTGAAAAGAGTTACTTCAAGCCAGTTTACCCATATGTAATTTCCCTTCAACGAGGACATCATAGTATATATTAAAAATGTGATAGCAATCCAATGTCAGGTTTCATTTTAAAAATCTGTTTTCTGTAGTCATTCCTAGTTCCAACAATCTCATAAATCCTGAGAGGAAATTATTGGCATATTCAAAGGGGGAATGAATGAGTTTAATGAAAAGATAATTTACAAAGGTGACTACAGAATCAAGGAAAACCAACTAGGATAATGCAGGGCTCTTGCAGGTAAAACCCAGAAAAGGGTGAGGCCACGCCTATGACTGGGTCTCCCTAAGATTTTAACTCTCAGAATTCTCCACACTGAACTTCTAGCATTTCACCAATTAAAGTTTAGGCTTTTCTAACTGGGCACTCATTCCTGCAGAGGTTTCCCCTCCAGTAAGATGTGATTCTCTATACCCGCCTGTCTGTCTCTCCAGTTTGGGGAGCAGTGGTTTGCCCTGTGACTTCACTTTGCTAAGGATCTAAGACGAGCTATTGAATTTTCAGTTTGTTCAACTTTTTATTTGGTGTTAGTACAGCAAGTAAGCTTCTACACTTCATACAGACCAGACTGGAAACCAAAAGCTTCTGTGTACTATTAACTGTTAAATGAGTAAAAGAAATTAGAAGAAACTGGACCAACCAGTTTTATTATAAGAACAATAATAATTCATATTTTTGTTTCAAGACCTAAGCTTAGTTATAAATTCAATACTGACTTTATCTATGCTTCTTGGATGTCTCCACTTGAATATCTTATAGGCATGCCCAAAACTATACTCATCGTCACCTTATTTAACTCTGTGTACTTCAATGAAGCAATATCTATCCACCAGTTTGAATCAGAAGACAGTCACTATTATTTACCCCTCTCTTCTCTTACACTCATATTTAAATACAGTAGAGTGTGATTCTTTTATGATTCTCAAGTGTGTTCATCTGTCATCTCTACTGTCATGATTCCTAATCATGCTATATCCCCAGAGACAATTCTGAAATCTAAATGTCCTTTAAAATTTGAGTCCTGTGTACTTACTAAATCCCAGATAACACAGTGCTTTAATGCTATTAAGGGTATTGTTGTGATAGATTGAAAATACTTATATTTCCATTAATTTGTTTTTCTTAGGTCATTACCAATTATTTGTATTTTTGTTTTTAGAATGTTTTGTTCATTTAAATAATGTCAAAATAATTATAATTTTACTATTGAATATTAATGCATTAGTTGAAATGTGAGCTAAGAAAATCCAGAGATACCTATCAATTCCGTTCATTTTACAATTTTAAAACTTTTCAACGTAATGTACTTATTTAGCAATTATTTTCAAGAAAGAAGTAAATTTTGTAGATATAATTTTGGTATACTACAATATTTTTCTCCATTTACATATTTTAAAGGGGAATTGGAAAAAAGTGAGTAGCTACAGACATTTGAAGTTTTATACGTATCTTTGTGGCTTCACAAATACAAATGTTGTAAACAGGTTGTAGAGGTGCATTGAGGCCCAGGTAGATAATAAAATTAATAAAAAATTATAAACTTTTCCTGGTAAGTTTAATAATAAAATATAAATAAAACATAACTGACAGTTTATTTTTAAAAAACTGTAACCTTAAATTTTATTAAGATTTGAAGAAATACAGTCCAGGTGGTTATGACAGTGCTCAGTTGCAACTGAATTTACATGTTTTATGTGCTGATTGCCTTTGTTTTAGCTGAGATCTTTTTCCCACTTCAAATCTAGTAAAACTCTTCAGCTCCAGTAGTGCACATAAGTTGTGCTAAACTCCTCAAAGATATTCCTGGTACTGTAGAGTTAATGTTCTCATGTCATCTCTGACATCAATAGTTGTTCTGTAAAATATTGGCATCTTCCTTGAATTTCACCCAAACAAAATCAGTAATAAACATAAACCTCATCTATATAATACATCAATCTAGTAGAATTAATGGAAGATTTGGAGTTTAGAGAAGGACATTTCATCATAGCAACTCTGTAATAAAGAGTCCAACCGTTTTTTTGATGTTTGGCTACTGACATTGTTTTAAACTTCATCTTTCTTTCCCCTTTGGTTCTACATATGGACAGACTTATTACAAGGTGTACATTGGCACCCTTGGGAAATATGAACCTTGTACATCTCCAGCCAGCATGGGAACTTTTCCCCAATCCCACCCCCTAGCGTCTGTGAAAGAGCTAACTCCCTCTGCTTCCCGCAAGGCAGTCTGGATCTGCTTGTGCAAGCTGTGCTCTCCCCTGTAGTCCCTTGCATGAATAATAAACTATTTCTATGGCGGGGGTTTGCAGTCTGCACATCTGAATCAAAGTTTGGGCAAAAGTCCACCCTTCTTCTACTACACGCTGACAAAGCAAACTCAGACACATTCAGGTTGCAATGTGGATATACATGCTGTTAATTGGCTGGGCGCTGTGGCTCACACCTGTAATCCCAGCACTTTGGGAGGCCGAGGCGGGCAGATCACGAGGTCAGGAGATCGAGACCATCCTGGTTACTACGTCTCTACTAAAAATACAAAACCCCGTCTCTACTAAAAATACAAAAAAATTTGCCGGGCGTGGTGGCGGGCGCCTGTAGTCCCAGCTACTCAGGAGGCTGAGGCTGGAGAATGGCATGAACCCGGGAGGAGGAGCTTGCAGTGAGCCGAGATCGCACCACTGCACTTCAGCCTGGGGGACAGAGTGAGACTCCGTCTCAAAAAAAGATTAAAAAAAATGCTGGTAATTGTTCTTTTCAAATCTTATTTCTTGGGATACTTTGTATTACCTCTTTCCTCCACGTTCAATACTAGCTTCACGTCATCTTGTTGCATATCTTCCTTTTCCTCCTATCATCTCTCTCTTACTCTACAGACTCTTCTTTATTTATCACACAGAAAATTTTAGCTAGTTCTTTTATAGACTTGCTACCTAATGACTGCCCCTAGGGTCTCACCTTTCCCCACAAGACAGTTATAAATGTATTTACTAAACAAAATCCACTTCTCTGCTAGAGGGAGTTATGGTGACATTTTCTTACATCTATGAATGTGTACATCTATATTTTTACTC